>NC_000001.11:229365939-229517454 GCF_000001405.40 Homo sapiens | reverse complement strand
ATGAGTACTTTTGCGAAGCAAGGCATGAACTGCTAGGTATTATTAAGAATGAATGATTTTTGCATTTAAGTTGTTTGAAGGCATGTATTTTGAAAAATATCTGTTACAAATTTATAATTTCAAGACAAATTGAATCTTATTTTATAATACTTTTGGAATTTCATTAATAAGGCTAAAATTTGAGGAATATAACTAATTTTCAGCCTTAAGACATTTAAGTTTGGAAGTCCTTGCTATTCAACAGAATAACAAGAAAACTTCAGAATGTATCACTCTCCTGAAAAGAAGATATTAATAAGCCCTTTTATTTATGGTTATAGTTTTATTTATAGTCTCAAAATTCCTAAAGCAATGCTACAACCATTGAATTTGCCATATTTTGTATCAGTGCTGTTAATTTGCTGTTGCCTCAAGAAAAAGTGCTTTTTCTCCATGGATGAGGCTAGACCCTAAGAAGTAATTAAGTCAATGTAAATCAAATGGAAGTTTTCCCATGAACTAAGCATTTATTAGTTCCCTGATTAGACTGGAAGAAGAAACCACTATTTCATGAAAAGCATGGAATATTATATTTTATTGTTCATAATTAATGAATAAAATTGATATGAATGAATATAGTGTTCTTTGAATTAGTAAACAGTACATCTGTGACAATCATTTTTAACAAGCTCTACTTGTGTTCTTTATAAAGTGTGATTTTCAGAAAGCAAACAACACAATTACAAGGTTGAATCTGAGGAAAATAATCCTTGTGCCATAGAAGTATTTACGAAATTGCATTTCATTGTTATGTTTTATTTTCTGATACATGATGTTCAATTTTATCTTTAGGTAATATTTTATATCATAGATTAAAATTTATAGTGAACTTTATCTGTGTCTGTCACTTTTTTTTTTTTTATGACCCAGGAACCAAAGATGCAGTCTGTCATTTCTTATAAAACTTCTCACTACATTGTTTCTTAGTAGAATTTGGCTGTGGAGATTCAGGAATAAAGAAAAGACTAACATTACACATATCCAAAAACATGTTGTAATTAAAAGTTCCATTCATTCCTCCTTACCAAGTTTGTTGAATGTCATCACTTGTTTGCTACTTACAAATATTGTTTAATTGTTTCACTGCAGTAAATAAGTATCTCCTACCTACATCAGGGACAAGGAACTGTGCTGTGAAGTTGATAGATGAGTAAGCCACAGTTTCTGCCCTCAAGGAGCTTCTAGTTTTGAAGGAGTGGGAAGGCAGGGGAAAATTAATAACAAGAATGCAGCTAGGGATCATAAAGAGGTGTAGTTGTAACACTGTGTTCTGGTATCACTTTTTTGTTTCCAGAGTGTTTGCATGTTACATTTGATACTTTGACAAGCCTGTAATTTAGACAAATATTTATCTTCCCCATTTCACAGAGGAGGAAATAAGCGTAGGCAAGTTGTGAATTAATTCAGCATTAATGACATACACAGTTTCAGGCAAGAAGAAACTCAAAAGAAAATTTTCGCATTGTTGAGCTCAGCATTTTGTTATATACCGTCCCAGGCTTGTCTGTATGTTCAAGGTCTCCCCTGACCCTGGGCCTGACAGGTTCCCGAAGAATAATCACAAGTTAAACCATTGTAGGTCGAACCCTTGTAAATGCATTCTTATAAAAGTAGGGCTCCATTTTGGGAATCCATCTTTTTTTTTTTTCCTTTGAGACAGAGTCTCACTCTGTTGCCCAGACTGGAGTGCAGTGGCGCGATCTTGGCCACTGCAACCTCTGCCTCCCAGATTCAAGCGATTCTCCTGCCTCAGCCTCCGGAGTAGCTGGGACTACAGGCGTGCGCCACCATGCCCGGCTGCTTTTTGTATTTTTAGTTGAGACAGGGTTTCACCATGTTGGCCAGGCTCATCTCCGACTCCTGAGCTCAAGCGATCCGCCTGCCTCAGCCTCCCAAAGTGCTGGGATTACAGGTGTGAGCCACCGTGCCCGGCCTGGTTTTAGTTTATTTTTGATAACTTTGGCAGTTTTATAAAATAAGATGAATTCCCGGCCAGGCATGGTGGCTCATGCCTGTAATCCCAGCTACTCAGGAGGCTGAGGCAGGAGAATCACTTCAACCTGGGAAGCAGAGGTTGCAGTGAGCTGAGATCGCACCACTGCACTCCAGCCTGGGAGACAGAGACCTTGTCTCAAAAGTAAATAAGCGAAAAGCAGTACAAATGTTACAAAACAAATATAAATGAAATAACTATGTGAAAACTACATTGTAAAAGTTCCTTTGGAGTGTATTTCTGAGGCATCATGGGGTTTTTCTGGTCATCTGTCCACTGAATTCATTCAATAAACATTTACTGAGCATCTTCGATTTTGCTAGGTCCTGTGCTGGGTGCGAGCTGTGCCTCCCTCACAAAGCTAGTGCAAGGATTGGCAAACAGCTGTTTTTGTATAGCCTGCAGGCTAAGGATAGTTTTTACAGTTTTAAATTGTTGGAAAAAAATCGAGAGAATATCTCATGACACATTAAAAATACATGAAATTCAAATTTCAGTGTCCATAAACAGCCTACTCCTTCTAGGAATTGTCTGCGGCTGCTTTCACCCTACAGCCACAAGGGGGAGGAGTTGTGACAGACTACATGGCCTACAAGCTGAGATGCCTGACAGAAATCTCACTGATGACAGAGACAGTGAAAAAATTCCGTACTACTTGAAGGACTTCTAAACCACACTGAAATTTAGAGCCATCTCAAAAAGTTCCATTGACAGGATTAGATGAGTGCCCTGAAAATGACTGGGTGCGGGTAATTTCTGGATGCGTTCTTCCTTGGTCCTGTGCCTCTCCATTTTAACACTTTAATTACCATGCTGTGAGAATGGGAGTCTAATAATTCCACCACGTCGGCAGGGAATCATTCTGGCTGCTTTCCTATTGTCGACTGCAGTTGTTAGTTAGTCCCACATAAATCAAAGTTTGATCTTAACTGCAAAGGTGATATTTTGGGAAGGACGTACAGAGGAGAGGCTCGTCTCCAAGTGGAACCACAAGTTGCCTGGGCGCCTCACACATACACACATGTCTACACTGGGGAGGTATTTTTCTATTTATTTTAATAAAATTTAAATCCACTTATATTGCATGTAGGGGAAAAGAAACCCTTACCATCTTAGGTTCATGGCTAAGGCCCTTATAACAAAAACCAGATTCACAAGAGAAAAGCATGCAAATTTATTTAAAAGTTTAACATGACATAGGAGCCCTTGGAAATGAAGACCCAAACAAACAAGGAAACTTGTGCATTTTTATGCTTAGGGTTGATGAGTGGACAACTTGTGGAAGGATATGACTGGACAAAGGTCTGATCTAACGGTAACAACTGGGGGAAATTGGTAAAGCCTGTTTGTTCAGACTCTTCTCTGTGGCCCTGTGTCTTCAGAGATAAAGATGTTTCTTTCCTCCAGGTACAGGGAAGGCATCTCTCAAATGAGGGTCTTAAGACCTGTTTTAGGGGAGAAGGGTGGAAGAAGGTCAGAGAATGATCTTCCTGCTTCTACTGTGTTCTCAAATGCCAAGGTGCCACATTTTGGGGTGGTAGGTCCTGAACCGTATCACTGCACACACTATTTTTTATTCTATATATTTAAGGTGTACATGATGTTGATATGTATATGCACAGTAAACTACAGTCAAGCAAATTATCCTATCCTTCATCTTCCATAGTTACCTTTTTTCGGTTTTTTTGAGGAAAGAGTCTATAAAATCTCCTCTCAGCAAATTTTCAGGATATAATACAATGTTGTTAACTATAATCCTTATGCTGTACATTAGATCTCTAGACTTCCGCATCTTACATAACTGCAACTTTGACCTAATTCTCTGCACATACTATTTTTAACCAAACTGCTTTTTAGAAAATTTGCATGAATATTTTCCTACATTGTTAAGTGTTCATTACTCACATCCATATGTATTCTTTTAAATATAGCTTTTCATAATGCTTTTTTTTTCAGACTCAGGACCTTTGTATTTTTTTTCGGTTTTCCATAATGTGGATGCACTATAAATCTATAGTTGGCCATCTATGTTACTTTCTACCTCCTTCACTATTATAAACAATACTGTCTTTGTTATTTGACTTTTTCACATAAATTTCTAAGGTGAAATTGCCAAGTAATTATAAGGCTTTTTAATAGAAATTGTCCTCTTAAAAGATTGTACTTTTACAGTCCCACCAGATAGATATGTAAGCAGTGCTTGTTTCCCCATAGCCTTTTCAATATGAACTGCTACTATTTTATTTTTTTTTTTCTGCCCTGTTGCCCAGGCTGGAGTGCAGTGGCCAATCTCGGCTCACTGCATCCTCTGCCTCCTGGGTTCAAGCGATTCTCCTGCCTCAGCCTCCTGCGTAGCTGGGATTACAGGCGTGCACCCACCATGCCCAGCTAATTTTTGTATTTTTTTCTTTCTTTTTTTTTTTTTGGAGACGGAGTCTCACTCTGTGGCCCAGGCTGGAGTGCAGTGGTGCAATCTCAGCTCACTGCAACCTCCGCCTCCTGGATTCAAGTGATTCTTCTGCCTCAGCCTCCCGAGTGGCTGGGACTACAGGCACGCACCACCACGCCCCGCTACTTCCTGTATTTTTAGTAGAGATGGGGTTTCACCATATTGGCCAGGCTGGTCTCGAACTCCTGACCTCGTGATCTGCCCGCCTCGGCCTCCCAAAGTGCTAGGATTACAGACGTGAGCTACTGTGCCTGGCTAATTTTTGTATTTTTAGTAGAGACAGGGTTTCACCATGTTGGTCAGGCTGGTCTTGAACTCCTGACCTTGTGATCCACCCACCTCAGTCTCCCAAAGTGCTGGGATTACGGGCGTTAGCCACTGCACCCAGCCTATTTACTTTTTGAGATGGAGTCTCACTCTGTCACTCAGGCTGGAGTACAGTGGCACAATATCAGCTCACTGCAACCTCCGCCTCCCAGGTTCAAGTGATTCTCCTGCCTCAGCCTCCCAAGTAGCTGGGACTACAGATGCGCACCACCACACATGGCTAATTTTTGTATTTTTAGTAGAGACAGGATTTCGCCATGTTGGCCAGGCTGGTCTCAAACTACTGACCTCAGGTGATCTGCCCTCATTGGCCTCCCAAAGTGCTGGGATTACAGGTGTGAGCCACCACCCCCAGCCTCTAACATTCCTTTATTAAATTCTTTTAACTACCTAGCCTGAGGGTACCATCTGTTTTCTCTATGATTTTTTTTTTGAGACAGTCTTGATATATATATATATAATTATACTTTAAGTTCTAGGGTACAGGTGCACAACGTGCAGGTTTGTTACATATGTATACATGTGCCATGTTGGTGTGCTGCACCCATTAACTCGTCATTTACGTTAGGTATATCTCCTAATGCTATCCCTCTCCCCTCCCCCCACCCCACAACAGGCCCTGGTGTGTGATGTTCCCCTTCCTGTGTCCAAATGTTCTCATTGTTCAATTCCCACCTATGAGTGAGGACACGCGGTGTTTGGTTTTTTGTCCTTGCGATAGTTTGCTGAGAATGATGGTTTCCAGTTTCATCCAAGTCCCTACAAAGGACATGAACTCATCCTTTTTTATGGCTGCATAGTATTCCATGGTGTATATGTGCCACATTTTCTTAATCCAGTCTATCATTGTTGGACATTTGGGTTGGTTCCAAGTCTTTGCTATTGTGAGTAGTGCCACAATAAACCTACGTGTGCACGTGTCTTTATAGCAGCATGATTTATATTCCTTTGGGTATATACCCAGTAATGGGATGGCTGGGTCAAATGGTATTTCTAGTTCTAGATCCCAGAGGAATCGCCACACTGACTTCCACAATGTTTGAACTAGTTTACAGTCCCACCAACAGTGTAAAAGTGTTCCCATTTCTCCACATCCTCTCCAGCACCTGCTGTTTCCTGATTTTTTAATGATCTCCATTCTAACTGGTGTGAGATGATATCTCATTGTGGTTTTGATTTGCATTTCTTGCTCTGTCACCCAGGCTGGAGGGCAGTGGCGCCATCACAGCTCACTGCAACCTCCACCTTCCTGGCTCAAGCAATTCCCCAGCCTCAGCCTCCCACGTAGCTAGGATTACAGGCACACACCACCATGCCCAGCTAATTTTTTTGTATTTTTAGTAGAGATGGGGTTTCATCATGTTAGCCAAACTGGTCTTGAACTCCTGACCTCAGGCAATCCACCTGCCTGGGCCTCCCAAAGTGCTGGAATTACAGGTGTGAGCCACCACGCCTGGCCTTCTCTAGGATCTTATTTGACAGAGCCTACAAGGCCCTTCATGGTCTCTCCTTATTTCTCCAATTCCCTTTACTTTTAGTCTTTCAGGTTGATTTGTTTGTTTAAAGTCTCTGGCTCTAATCCCAGCTACTCAGAAGGCTGAGGCTTGAGGATCACTTAAGACCCGGAGTTTGAGACCAGCCTGGGAAATATAGCAAGACCCCATTTTTTAATTGTATTTTTTTTAGAATTTAAAATAAAATTTCTTGGGGAGACAGGGTCTTGCTATGTTGCCCAGGGGCTGGTCTTGAACTACTAGCCTCAAGCCATCCTCCCACACCTTAGCCTTGCAAGGTGCCGGGATTAGAGACGTGAGCCACTATGCCTGGCCGTGAGACCCCATTTCTAAAAATATATATATAAATAAAAAATAGGCAGGTGTGGTGGTACATGCCCATGGTCCCAACTCAGAGGCTGAGGCAGGAGGATCACTGAAGCCCAGAAGGTTAAGGATGTGGTGAGCTTTGATCACGCCACTGCACTCCAGCCTGAGCAACAGAGTAAGACCCAATCTCTAGAAAAATCATAAAGTAAAATAAGAATAAATAAAGTTCCTAGAATGCACCAAGTCCTTTGCTGCTTCAGGACCTTTGGCCAAGGATCCTCTGCCTGAAACATTCTTCCTCCTATTCTCTTATGCTTCATGTCTCAGGTTAAACGTCCTTTTCTCCCAGAGACCTTTATAGACCTCCATGCAAAAATAGGTAGCCCCAGTGATTCTCTCTCATACACTTTGCTCTTTTATTTCATAGTACACATCTCAGCTTGTAGCTGGATATTTGTGTTCATTTTTTCAGTGTCTGTCTTTCTCATTGGTCTGTAATCTCCATGAGGGTAGGACCCATGGGCTTTGTTTAGTTATAAGCCTTAGCAATTATCACATAGCCTGGCACATGGTAGGTACTCACTAAATCCATAACGAATGGATGACTTTTAGTGCTGTCTGCTTACTATCCTTCAATAGCCATACATTTGGACTCCAGGCAAGTTCTTGCTCAAAGGTGGCTGACAAGTCATTCTAGCTCCTGCAAACAACAGCTTTTACATTAGGATGCTGGGGAAACCACTAACCAGTCCAACAAAGCACAAGAATAAAATTGATCCCACCAATCCTCTCAGACACAACTATTAATACTCTCTATTGCCTATTTCACACCCCTCCTTGTAAGAATGAAACAGGGAGGAAATGCACTGGGCTCTCAGAGCTATAAGACTCAACAAGCTGCCAAGTTGGGTTAGACACCCAGGTGGGAGAAGGAGTAAAGCAGCTAGCCTATGTAACCTTGGCAAGATGACTGCTCAGATGCCACTGGTGCATAGATAGATGACTGGCTTCCCAGGGGAATGTCAACAACTGACACCCACACTGTGGTCTCCCACATGTGAATACGTCAATGTTTACTTAACCATTCCCTTATTTCAACACACGTTGAATGAAAGTCTACTATGTGTCTGTTACTGTGTGCCACAAAGGTAACAAAGTCACTGCTCTTGCTGTCAAGACATTTAAAAGGAAGTACTTGACAGACAATTATGAAAACAAACTATTATGCAGGATAAAAATACAGTCTACACACAGGAGCAGAGAGGACAAAGGATAAGGGGGACCTAATCCTGTGGAAGGTTTCACTGAGAAGGCAGCACAGAACTAACTTGATGCGGAAGGTAGGCGCCTTCTGGACCAACAAGGCAGGGAGTGCATTCCAGGTGAGAGAAACATGGACATGGGCACTGGAGGGAGATTTGGGTTTTTAAGTTCTCGGAATGTGGAGTGCAAGTGGGAAGTGCTGGAAGTACAACACGGACGGAAAAGCCAACCTGACTTAGATCACATAGGACCTTGCAAAGGAGCTTAGCAAATAACCTACTGGCAATGGTCAGCCACTGAAGCATTTACAGGCCCAAGAGCAGCATTACGTTTGCCTTAATTCATTGTGTTGGCAGTGAGAAGATAGAGTGGAGGAAGACTAGACACAGGTAAGGAACCCTCTCCCCATCTCCCCTACTCCCTCCCGCTGGCAGAAGAGGCTACGCAGTGGTTGAGGGAAAGGTAAGTACCAGAACCAGGGCAGAGGCAGTGCAAATGTGTGATCTAGTACAGACACGTAGGACCTTACAACGTATACCATGATCTTAGGGTGGAGGTAGGTGTGAGGGATGACTGCAGATAGAGCTCTTCTCTTTGCCTTGGACAACTGGCCAGTTTTACCAAGCTGGAACAGAGATGGTGGTAGGAGAGGGGTCCTAAAGGAAAACATGAATGCGCTTTTCATAAGTGGATTGTGAGGAGTTCGCAGGACTTCCAGCTGAAATTGTCCCCTAGGGAGCTGAATGATAGGGGTCTGGGGGTTTTGAGCTGGATCCAGGTTAGAGACACGGATTTGTGGCGTCATCAGCGTGGATGAGACTGCGCAAAGTTGAATGGGAAAATGGCAAACCTAGAAAACAACAAATATCACAGTGCGATACCAGTGTCAGCTTTACGGCTTTTCTCCGTCCTCAGCTTGGAATGAGGAACATCTTTCATTTCACAAGAGGTTCAGGAACTACCAGTGTGAAAAGAGGCTACGTTCAAGCTGCTGGAGGGCCAGTTCCACCTAGGCGCAGTCAAGAAGGGCGCCTGGCTTTCCGGCTTCACGTCCCTGGAAGCTCGGCACTGCAGCGGTTCTAGATCTGGGGCCGCCGGCTGCCTTCCCGACCTACCTCGCTGACTGGGCACCGCCCTTAACGTCACGATCCCGCCCCCGCCAGCGCTCCGACCACAACCCGCGGGAGCCATTGCGTTTGACGTCATCATCGCGCGCCATCTCTTCCCTTAGGTGTTTAAGTTCCGCGCGCAGGCCAGGCTGCAACCTGACGGCCAGATCCCTCGCTGTCCTAGTCGCTGCTCCTTGGAGTCATGTTCCCAGCCGCCCCTTCTCCGCGGACCCCGGGTACCGGGTCCCGAAGGGGCCCGCTGGCCGGACTCGGGCCCGGCTCCACGCCCCGGACGGCTAGCAGGAAGGGTCTGCCCCTGGGGTCTGCAGTCAGCTCCCCAGTGCTCTTCTCGCCGGTCGGCCGGCGTAGCTCGCTAAGCTCGCGGTAAGTGATCTCCCTGGTTGGGTCTGGCAACCAACAGCCTCACGGGCCGCAGTGGGCCGGATAGGTTGTTGTCTTTAGAAGCCTTTGGAACCGGGGCGGCGGAATAGAATGCCACAGTATTGGAAAATAGACCTTTTCCACTGCTGCAGGTAGTATCTGCTTCGTTTTGATTATCAGTTGATCAGTTGATTCCCCACTTTGCATTTTTCATGGATACCTTTGTGCAGAAGTGAAGTACAAACTGGATTTGCATCAGTGTTTACCTACTTCCCACCTACTACCCGTGTGATCTGGTGTAAGTCACTCGTGATTTTCTTCATCTGTGAAATGGCGATAATATATCTCACCTGAGCCAGAGGAGTTATTATGAATTGCCACGATGCAGATGTAAGGTGATGGTGATAATGAGGACCTACAACCCTGAAAGATCATTGTTTAATGCCTAACATACCAACTGACATTAATATCTGATGATTGGTAATTAAAGGGTTTCTAGCTACGGAATTTAACTTTCTAGGTAAATTATAAGGAAAAGGCTTTACATAAGTGAGCTAAGAGTACTGTGATAGTTTAGTTACTAAAACTGCTCGTTTGGAGCACCAGTAAAATCATCACACACACACACCCCTCCCCACCCCCAACACACACCATGTTCATAATTAACCTAAAACTTTAGTGTTTCTGCATAGTTTTCTCTGAATTCATCTATAAAAAATGAATTTTTCCCTGCAGGAAACACAAAGTATTGTGTCTTGAAATTATGGTTAAAATTTATCTGTAAAATTTTTCAGTACTTTAAAGGAGAAGTGGTTTTGAAAGAATACACTGTATCTTTGACTTTTTTTGGCATATTTTGAAAAGTTCTTTTCAAAGTGCTGATCTTGTCAGTGTTTTCTATTCCTTTTGCGAAAAGTTGGAGAATAAAAGCATACTTTATTTACTGTGTGTTGTTTTATTTAAATCTCTTCTTGTGATCATTTGAAGAAAAACCTTTGTTATCCTCTGTCAGGAAACAAAGCCCTTAGCCCTTCTGTATGTGCATCTTCTCATTTAATTCTCGTGATAAGACATAGACTACCTTTTATTCTGGTGACTTTACAATATTCTAAATGTTAAGAGGGTGAGCAAGAAATAAAGTTTTTACTGTGATATCTGCTGTTGAGGACCATGTAACAGCTGATGCTCGTAACCTGTTCGATTTCTTGCTTGGTTGTACAGATCTGATAGTTTTTTTTTTTTTTTTTTTAAAGAGACAGGGTCTCACTCTCTGTCGCCCAGGCTACAGGCTGGTGCCACAATGCCCGGCTAATTTAAAATTTTTTTTGTAGAGACAAGGTCTTGCCACGTTCCCCAGGCTGGTCTTGAACTCCTGGTCTCAAGCAGTCTTCCCGCTTCGGCCTCCCAAAGTGCTGAGATTATAGACATGAGCCACTGCTCCGGCCAGGTCTGGTGGACTCTTAAGCACCTAAAGCTAGATGAGCTTAAATCTCATCTAAGCCAATATTTATAAAATGTATTTGACCACAACATATGGTAAAAGCTGATGTTTTATATTCTGTCTTTCAAAAATGTTGAGATCTGCAAAATGACCCGCTGTTTGAAAAAAAAAAAAAAAAAACACTGGTCTAGTTAAGCCTTATTTCACAGCTAAGGAGGCAGAATTATAAGGAGTTTAAGTGAATACAGGCATGCATTTCAATACTAGAGTCTATGGGATTGAAGCCAAGTTTTCCTAAATCCTGTTTTGTTTTTTTTTTACATGAAAAATATTACATTTAATTACATGGTAAATATGAGCCAGTGTTAATTTTTTTCAAAGAACTCCTTACTGTGAAAATATATACATAAAAAATTAGGATAATGGAGAATTTTAAGTTACAAGTAAGGTAATATAGACTCTTTTCTTTAGGGGAACACCAACACGAATGTTCCCACACCACTCCATAACTGAGTCTGTGAACTATGATGTGAAAACGTTTGGATCTTCTCTTCCTGTTAAAGTCATGGAAGCCCTAACATTGGCTGAAGGTAGGTGTCATCTTTCCATTTACCTATATTAGCAGTTTAAAATGGAGCCTAGATGTGGCATAGAGATTAAATTTATGTTTTCTCTAGTATACCTTTACGTAAATGGTGAGAGATGGGTGGCCTGTCTAGTGTTTTTTTATTTTTATTTTTTCGAGACAGAGTCTCACTCTGTCACCCAGGCTGGAGTGCAGTGGTGTGATCTCAGCTCACTGCAACCACCACCTCCCAGGTTCAAGCGAGTTTCCTGCCTCAGCCTCCCAAGTAGCTGGGATTATAGGTGTGAGCCACCACGCCCAGCTAATTTTTTGTATTTTTAGTAGAGACAGGGTTTCACCATGTTGGCCAGGCTGGTCTTGAACTCCTGACCTCAGGTGATCTGCCCTCCTTGGCCTCCCAAAGTGCTGGGATTACAGGCGTGAGCCACCACATCTGGCCACCTGTCTTAGTTTTTTTTTTTTTTTTTTTTTTTTTTTTTAACTGTAATTGAGATGTATAATACATTCGAGAAGGAGAATGAGTTCATTTGAACACAATCAAATTAAGTCTTTAATGGTTTTAGGTACTGTACAGTAGTCCCCCATTATCTTTGGGGGATATCTTCCAGGATCCCCAGTGGATGCCTGAAACCTTGTATAGTACTAAACCTTATATATACTGTGTTTTTTTAATACATACACACCTATGATAAACTTTAGTTTATAAATTAGGAACAGTAAAGATGAACAACAGTAATAATAAAGTAGAACAATTATAACAATATACCAGCAGCACTACTCTTGTACTTCGTTTGGGGTCATTAACTAAAATGAGAATATAAGCATTGCATTACTGCGACAGTTCATCTGGTAACTGAGACAGCTACTAAGTGACAAACAGCTGGATAGTCTCAGGGGTGTCCAATCTTTTGGCTTCCCTGGGCCACTTGGAAGAAGAATTGTCTTGGGTCACACATAAAATACACTTACGATAGCTGATGAGCTAAAAATAAATAATGAAAAGGTCTGTGTATAAATCTTATCATGTTTTAAGAAAGTTTACAAACTTGTGTTGGACCGCATTCAAAGCTGTCCTGGGCCACACGTGTCCCTGGGCCATGGGTTGGACAAGCTTGGGGTATACAGTATGGATATGCTGCACAAAGGGTTGATTCACAACCTTTAGGCAGGACAGTATGAGATTTTATCACTTTACCCAGAACAGCATGCAATTTACAACTTAGGAATTGTTCATTTGAATTTTCCATTTAATATTTTCAGACTACGATTGACCACAGGTATTTGAAACTGCAGATAAAAGGGGGAAATACTGTATATGCAAAATTCAGTCCTGTTTACAGAGTTGATCAGGTTTATGAAGTTTCCCGTGAAACCCCAAAACTGGCACCTCATGTTATTGGGTTTAATAATACAGTAAAATCAAGTCCTACCTCCATTTCTGGATCCTATGTAGCATCCCAGAGGCTGTGTGCACAAATTTATGACGTTACCATTGTCGTGGTGTACCTTTAGAAGCGTCTGTTGGTGGAGAATTAGTGTGGAATTTTGACAGATACAATCAACACAAGCTTAGAAAGGCAACTTTAAAGATGAGCAGTTGGATGACACTGGAAGAGCAAAGTTCAGAGCAGCCTTAATATCTGCTGAAGTCATTTTTATTAAGGCTTGAATTCTAGATCTTTGTGATTTTTCTGGAACAGTATTTTTCAAATTGTAGGGGTGACCAAAATTTAGCGGTTCTTGACCAGCATTTAAAAAAAGAAGAAATAGAATGCATCTCATATGTTTAGTAAATTTTGTTCGTTTTACTTAAATTGTATATGGGTGTATCGTGATGTAAAATGTATTATACTGTGAATAACTCTATTTACTGTATAACTTAATAACAGTAAAAAAAAAATGCTGAAATTACTCTGTTTTAGAAGAAGGAATATATCTCATCAACTGGAACTTGGCACATCTTGCCTGTAGGTCCTTGGGAGCTTTAGGGATAGTTGTTTTCAGACAACTACTAACCTTTCTATACATTGTTCTGTTTTAAATAAATAAATGTATATATATATATTGGTATATATGTGTATATTTTTCCCCTCTAAAAATTTCAGTTTACATTTAAACCTTTTAATGTACTACTCATATTTTAACAGACTAGATTAAATAACACAGCCCCAAATCTAGAAATTCAGAGAGTCCTTAGAAATTAGGATATATAAAACAAAGAGGTGTGTCAACTTGAAGAACTCTTCCCCACTTAGAAACCTGCCAACTACTGTTAAGTCAGCCCTTAAAGGCACACCGGTCGAGGATCTGGAGTTGTAGTGCTTTCAAGAAAAAGAAAATTACTGAGCAGATAGTTCAGTTGAGCAAAAAGCCTCACTCAGCCTGGGCTTGGTTTGATATTTTTGCTTGTACATTGTCTATGCCTTTTACTTCACCCTTCTACCTTTCTGTAAGTAAAGAGCAAAGCTCAACTTAATAAAATTTCCAGGGCTGTTAACACATTTGTGGAGGTTTACCACCAATACTTAAGATATGTGCTAATTTAGTTTTGTCACTTAATAGAGAACGTAACTCTTTGTCTCCATGTACTAAATAATTTATCATTCCTTTAAGGAGCTCTTATTTGAAAATTATGTGCTTTTGGTCCTCCAAAAGCACATTGTTTTCCTTGAAATGTTTTATATAGTTAATGAGTTTGTTATTTGTTTTACTTTATCGATATAATTATAAATGTTGCTAAATATTTCTTTTTTGTTTGTTTGTTTTGAGACAGAGTCTTGCTCTGTTGCCCAGGCTGGAGTGCAGTGGCGCGATCTCAGCTCAATGCAACCTCTGCCTCCCAGGTTCAAGTAATTCTCCTGCCTCAGCCTCCCGAGTAGCTAGGATTACAGGTGCACGCCACCATGCCCCCATGCCTGGCTAATTTTTTTTTCTATTTTTGGTAGAGATGGGGTTTCATCATGTTGGCCAGGCTGGTCTCGAACTCCTGACCTCATGATCCACCCACCTCGGCCTCCCAAAGTGCTGGGATTACAGGCGTGAGCCACCCTGCCTGGCCTCTCTTTTGTTGTTTCTGCTTACTTATTTTTTGATATGGAGTCTTGCTCTCTTGACCAGGTGGGAGTGATGTGATCATGGTTTACTGCAGCTTCAATCTCCTGGGCTCAAGTGGTTCTCCTGTGCCTCAGTCACCCTAGTAGCTGGGAAGTGCACTGCCAAGCCTGGCTATTTTTTTTTTTTTTTTTTAAGAGAGAGAGTCTCACTATGTTGCCCAGGCTGGCCTCAAGCAGTCCTCCCAGGGTGGCCTCCCAAAATATTGGGATTTATAAGCATGAGCCACTGTGCCTGGCCTAAATATGTCTTATAGGAAATAAGCTATCTGGTCTGTTTGTAACAAAAAATTAAGGAATATTAAATGTCCCAAATACACTTTTTGCCTTTAGATATATTTCTTTTTTCTTTCTTTTTTTTTTTTTTTTTTTTTTGAGATGGAGTCTGGCTCTGTTGCCCATGCTGGAGTGCAGTGGCACGATCTCGGCTCACTGGAACCTCCACCTCCCAGGTTCAAGCGATTCTCTTGCCTCAGCCTCCCAAGTAGCTGGGACTACAGGCACGTGCCACCACACTCAGCTAATTTTTTGTAGTTTTAGTAGAGTTGGAGTTTCACCATGTTAGCCAGGATGGTCTCGATCTCCTGACCTCGTGATCCTCCCACCTCGGCCTCCCAAAGTGCTGGGATTACAGGCGTTAGATATATTTCTAAAGTTGGTTATCAGAGTTAATAGATCTATTGTTTTTGGTGTTGATAATTTTGGAATATTCAAAAGTATTTGTTGTGAGGTAGTCGTTTCTGAGTGTGCCAATTACTTTTTTTTGATAAAGCGTGTGGTAATAAAGATTTATACTATAAGATTAATCACCCACCTCATTTTTTCCTTTAGTCGATGACCAGCTGACCATTAACATAGATGAAGGTGGATGGGCTTGTCTGGTGTGCAAAGAGAAGCTCATTATTTGGAAGATTGCTCTGTCACCTATTACTAAGGTAATGGCTCTTTAGAGAGCTGGAACAAGATAGAGGAGAGGAATGCCAATTGACTTTTCATTTTTACCCTAATTTTTTTACAGTTGGAGGATAGTCAATAGGAAACTACTTAGGCATTAAGAGTTTGCATTTTCATAGTGATGTGAAATAATGAGCATGCATACACATTTGTGTATTGGGAAAAAAGTTTCCCCCTTTTGAAGATCTGTGTTGTTTACATTTAATAAAATTAGAGTCATTGATATTTCCAATGAATATAATGCTAATCCGTCTGCCTAATGAAGTATCAGACTAAATGCTATCCACATAAGCAAATGAACTTTGAGTTTGCGTATTTCTGAGAAGACAGAACTATGTTTTGTTGAACCTACTGAATGATGCTTAATAAAATAAGAAAATATGATACCAGTTGCTAGTTAAACTTTTCACTTGTCCACTTCCAACAGTGGGTTATCATTTGCATGTCTAGTAACGTATCCTCAGCAACCTTTTTCTGTTTGTTACAGCTTAGATACACTACTCTCTTCTACCAGTCATTACTTCCTTGGCCATGTTCCGTTGGAACTCAGGGCTCCTGCTTACCTCAATTCTTCACTTCTGCTGAACTCTGTGTTACTGCTGCCTAGAAAAGGGTGTATGTGGTTAGGAGTAATAGGTGAGGGTGAATTCCTGGGGGACATACTGAGTTAGCTGCGGGATCCTGATATTTGGCTGAGAGTCTAAGAAATTGTTTCCTAGGTAACTTGGTATAATTACTCTTTGGTCATGCTAATTTTAAATGTCAGATGAACAAATCAAGAGTAAATTGGGAAAGTTCCATAGGAAGCCTAAGCACTCATCTTAACCTTACTTAGTCTTCTCTTAACTGGACTTTTCTAGCCCAGGAAGAGGTTAGGATAGTTGTTCTTCAGAGTTTGGTCTACCTTTAAGTTTTCATGATTCAATACTCTTAAGATACTTTGTTTTAAAATTACTGAAAGCCTGATTAAAAGGAGATGTGAGAAGAAAGAATATTTGTAGAATGGTGTTTCCAGCAGTGAGTCAGAATCTAAAATATGCAGAGAAGGGAAATCAGATGCATCTTCAAAATACTGGATTTGATGTGAAAGATTTTCTGTTTGGGTTTGTTCTACAGTTATCCGTTTGCAAAGAACTTCAGCTGCCACCTAGTGATTTCCACTGGAGTGCCGACTTAGTGGCTCTTTCTTACTCTTCTCCCTCAGGTGAAGCACATTCTACTCAGGTAGGTGACTTAAAAGCTTATTTAAATAAACTTTTTACAACAAGGACATCCTAAAGTTAGAGGAATCATCCTCTTTGATTTTGAGATATAACTATAAACCTATAGAAATCAAGATATTGTGGTATTGGCAAAGAGAGCTACACACATAGGTCAGTGTAACAGAATAGAGAATACAGTTATAGATCCACATAAAGGCACCCATTTGGTCTTTGATGAAGGTGCAAAAGCAATTCAGAAAGGATGGTTTTTGACGATGATTTTTCTCTGTATCAATGCATAGTGTAGGAACATTTGTAATTTTAAAATTACAAATGACCAATTTGTATTGTATTGTATTGAATTTTCCCTTAAACCTCATACCTTGTTACAAAGATTAATTTGAAATGGGTCATAGATCTAAATGTAAAACAGTAAAACTTTTAGAAGAAAACAGAAGAAAATCATCATGACCTGAGATTAGACAGAGTTCTTGGAAATCACCAAAAGCATGATCCATAAAAGAAAAGTTTGATAAAATTAATAATAAAATTAAAATAAAATAAAAATTTAAAGCGTTGCTTTGCCAAAGACAAGAAAATGAAGAGACAAGTTACAGAGTAAGAAGAATTTGCAAATCATGTATCCAGCAAAGGACTTGTATCCAGAATATTTTTTAAAATTCTAAACTTGATAAGAAAACAATGCAGTTTAAAAACAGGGGCTAGGACTTGAACAGACACTTAGTGAGGATATAAGGATGGCACATAAGCACATGAAGAGATGTTCAGCATCATTAGCCATTAGAAAAATGCAAACCAAAACACTGGTGAGTTCTTATTTCTGATTTTTCTTGATCAAATAGTAAATTGTCCTGTTTCTTTGTATCATTGCCATCAGACTGCTGGTTTTTGGGTTCCTCTTTTATTGTGATTGCTGATTGTTGTGATCTTGTTTTGAGGCTGTTGCTGTCATGGTTGCCACCAGAGAAGGATCTATCCGCTATTGGCCAAGCCTTGCTGGTGAAGATACCTACACAGAGGCTTTTGTAGATTCGGGAGGTGATAAGACTTACAGTTTCCTAACAGCAGTGCAGGTATACCACGGATATTCCTTTATATTTATTGGAAAGCTGTGATTTGGCTTGGAAATAAATTTTTGTTTTTATTTTTAAATAGAGGTGGGATCTCCTTATGTTGCCCAGGCAATTCTCAAACTCCTGGGCTCAAGCAATAACTCCTGCTTTGGCTTCCCAAAGTACTGGGATTACAAGCATGAGCCACTGCACCCCAGCCGTGGAAATGAGATTTGATGACTAAAAATGTGGGGTTTTAAAGAGACTATAGAGGCCGGGGAGGGATCAAAAAGAGACAAGGAAGAGAAGAATGTAAGGATCTATGATTTGAACAGTTAGACAAGGGAGGCTCTTCTCACAGGACTCCAAAATATCAATTTCAGATAGTAGCTTGTGATATGAATTTCTTTTAGAAACATTTTATAAGATTGGCTTAAAAACTGTCAGACACTATAAAGAATGGCTTGCATTATCTTCTTTGTAGGTTCACAAAGAAACAAAATCTGGCTGAGCATGGTGGCTCATGCGTGCAGTCTCACCACTTTGAATGGCTGAAGCGGAAGGATTGCCTGAGGCCAGGAGTTCAAGACTAGCCTGCGCCATAAAACAAAACTTTGTCTCTACAAAAAAATTTAAAAATTATCTGGGCATAGTGGTGTGTGCCTGTAGTCCCAGCTGCTCAGGAGGCTGAGGCAAGAGGATCTCTTGAGCCCAGGAGATTGAGGCTGCAGTGAACTATGATCTCACCACTGCACTTCTGCCTGGGTGACAGAGCGAGACCCTATCTCTAAAAAAATAAAATAGCAAACAAAAAATATAAATAAATAAAATCTGATAACCTAATTTGTTGAATCTGAAATATGATGAACTTGTAGTTTAAAAATCAGAATTTAAAAAATATGCAATTTTTTTCTGCTACAAAAGTTGTTTTTTTTTTTTTTCTTTTTTCGAGACACAGTTTTACTCTGTCACCCAGGCTGGATTGCAGTGGCGCAATCTCAGCTCACTGCAACCTCTGCCTCCTGGGTTCAAGCAATTCTTGTGCCTCTGCCTCCCAAGTGGCTGGGATTACAGGTGCGCACCGCCACGCCCAGCTAATTTTTGTATTTTTAATAGAGACGGGGTTTCACCCCGCCTTGGGCTCCCAAAGTGCTGGATTACAGGTGTGAGCCACCATGCCTGGCCAGTTTTTTTCTTATGAGAGTTTTTCTATGTAGGATTAATAATATTAACTGAATGGATTCTGAAATATATTACTTTAATAAAATAACAACGTTCTATTTTGTATTCTTTTAGATTTATTTCAATTACGATGATTTTTCTCTGTATCAAAGAATTTTTCATTTTATCTTAGCATTCGATGCTAAACTGAACTAACCTCATAATGTTTTTTCACAGGGAGGAAGTTTTATTTTGTCTTCATCAGGAAGCCAACTAATTCGGTTGATACCTGAGAGCTCAGGAAAGATTCATCAGCATATCCTGCCTCAGGGGCAAGGCATGCTTTCAGGAATTGGTCGAAAAGTTTCTTCTCTTTTTGGAATTTTATCTCCTAGTAGTGATCTCACAGTAAGTTTATAAAATAACTATTTTACAAGCTTATTTCTTAGTTAAATCAATAAGTTGAAAGTATCCTCTGAATTTAGTATTCCTCCATATGGACAGTAGCTTATGCGAAATAAAACCTTTGGTCTTTTTAGTGAACTATTTTTATTATGATGAAATGAGATCATACTAACCTTCTCCCATAACTTGTAACACTAAAATCTTTAAATCAGACAGATTATCTCACAAGTACATTTTTTGAACTAAAACTATTATGTAAAATATAAAATGTGTTTCTTAAAGATTAATTTGACTTTTTAGATTTAACCAGAAGCGTGTTTCTACTCATGCCTCCAGCTGTCTGTGTGGATGACTGAAATCTAGATCTGTTGGCTGGACTTCTCTGCACCATACTCTAGCATAGTGAAGGGAAGATGATGGGAACTAATATTTATGGACCATCTACTCGCTGCTCGGTGCTCTATAGTTGTTATATTCATATTGTGTAATCATTGTGACAACCTGTAAGGTAGCATGCTTTCCCGCCAGTTTACAGATGAGGAAGCACCCTCAGCAAGGCTGAAGGTGTGTAACTGCTGAGTGGCAGAGCTGGGAATCATACCCAGGCCTGTCTGAATTTAAAGAACATGCTCTTTTTACTGTGCTGTTTCCCTCTTGTTTCAGATAATTATCACCTGCTTCCTTGAATGTTCTTTAAACCTAAACTTAACATGTTTAAAAACAAATTTATTGTGTTCTTTCATCTCTCCTATTGGCTACTCACTTAACCCTATAAAACTCATTTCTCTTTTGACCTGTTTTTGTTAAGAGCACCATCCCTTTTTTCAGTGACCCAGGTATAAAACCTTGTTATTTTTTGTGTCTCCCTCTCCTTCTATAGCAAACTAGTTATTTACCAGGTGCTGTAGATTTAACTTCTATCCAATCTCATTTCCATCCCCATCTTTCTGCTTTTGATGTTATGCCCTAACCTATACTCTTGATAAATTTCACCTAAGCTCCTGGTACCTGCTCAGTTTACTTACTGTTGGCCTTTCTGCCCTATCAGTGATGCGTTTTAACACAAAACAGTCATGTATATCCAGCTTTAAAAAGCCGAATATCTATACTTCATGATTAAGTATATACTGAAAAGGCAAAATAACACTCCTCTTCATGACTAACTACATACATTCTGCCAAATGCATTCAAACACAATTCTGTGTTCAGAAGCTATTGATAATATCTCCCTTGCTTGCTACACTTACCAATTCACATTCAACACTCTCTGCTATATGTCCCTGATTTTTCATTATTTTTTATTTTTATTTATTTTTAAAAATAGAGACAGGGTCTCAGCATTTTGCCCAGGCTGGTCTCAAGCTCCTGAGCTCAAATGAGCCTCCCTCCTTGGTATCCCAAAGTGTTGGAATTACAAGCACGAGCCACCACGCCTGGCCTCATTATTTTTCAAAAAATCCTTATTTTTTCTTCTTTTCTACTTGTCATCTACATTCCAATGTAACAGGATGACTTCTTGTTCTCCAAAGACGCTGTAACTTTCCCACCTTTCAGCTCTTCTCCTCTTGGGCTTTCCACCTGTATCCTTCTTCCTATAGATCCAACCTTGCCCTCAAGCTCTATTTCAGGATCACTCATTTCTGGTTTGTTTTGTTTGTTTGTTTTGGAGATGGAATCTCACTCTGTCGCCAGGCTAGAGTGCAGTGGTGCGATCTCGGCTCACTGCAGCCTCCACCTCCTGGGTTCAAGTGATTCTCCTGCCTTAGTCTCCTGAGTAGCTGGGACTACAGGCGTGTGCCACCACACCCGGCTACTTTTTTGTATTTTAGTGGAGATGGAGTTTCACCATGTTGCCCAGGGTGGTCTTGAACTCCTAAGCTCAGGCAATCCACCTGTCTCGGCCTCCCAAACTGCTAGGATTGCAGGGGTAAGACACCACACCCGGCCCAGGATCACTACTTTCTTTAAATCCCAAATGAAGAATTCTGCTAGGATTACTAATCACATATGTGAAATTTGACTTTTAAAACAATAGTTCCTTAGCATTAGAAGTTAATCTGTGAATTTGACTTCCTTTTCTTTTCTGAATAGCTTTCAAGTGTTCTCTGGGATAGAGAGAGATCAAGCTTTTATAGCCTGACGAGTTCAAACATCAGTAAATGGGAATTAGATGATTCTTCAGAAAAGCATGCATACAGTTGGGATATAAATAGAGCCCTGAAGGAAAACATTACCGATGCTATTTGGGTAAGAAACAATAATATTCATCTCTGTAATTCATGTTTATGGTTGTATGATAATGCTGGTTCCCTTAATTGTTTTATTTATTTCAACACATTTCAGTGTAATAAACAACATAGTGTATGGTTATCAGATTAAGTGGAAATGGGTTAGTCAATCTCCAGAAATATTGGAATGCATTGGTTTACTTGCTTAGCGATTTTTTTTTTAATGTATACATTATTCAGCAACTGAGTTATGGGTGAAGCACTTCACTAGGTACTAGGGATATAAAGGTGAAAATAAATCATTCCTGCACTTGAGAAGCTTACATTATTGATATTTTCATGTAGGGATCTGAAAGTAACTATGAAGCTATTAAAGAAGGAGTCAACATTCGATATTTGGACTTGAAGCAAAACTGGTAAGCAATTAATTTGTCGTAAAGAACATAGAGAAGAGTTTGGAAAAAATAAGTTGATGTTTATAATAAAATGATGAGCAATCTCACTATGTGCTCTTTCTTTGGAGACAGGGTCTCACTCTATCACCCGGGCTGGAATACAGTGGCACCATGATAGCTCACTGCAGCCATGACCTCCTGGGCTGAAGTGATCCTTCTGCCTCAGCCTTCCAAGTAGCTGGTACTGCAAGCATGCGCCACCACACCTGGCTGATTTTTAAAATTTTTTTGTAGAGATAGGGTCTTACCATGTTGCCCAGATTGGTCTTGAACTCCTGGGCTCAAGCAACCCTCCTGCCTCAGCATCCCAAAGTATTGCGATTACGGGTGTGAGCCACTGTGCCCAGCCTGTTCTTTTAGTGCGGGTCTTCTCATGCTATCTATTAAGCCTTACTGAATGGTCTTGCTCTTGTTTATCGAGTGATGTTAGTTCATTTGGGAAATTGAGGCATTTTTCAGCCTTAAATAGTATATTCTTACCTTCGTGTCTCATTCGTTAGAGACAAAGCTTTTCTGCTCTTACAGCTAGAGCTTCTCTTCTTCACTGCCAAGAGATGCCTGAGACCCTGTCATTGCCCACTGCTGTGGCTGCCCCATGCTGTGATCTTTCTCTCATTGGAGGTATCAGGCACATATTTCCCACCCTCTTTCTGTTGCTCAGGGAGCTTTAGGCCTATGTTTGTGGCTATGCTGAGTTAAGGATGGGATAAGGCTTTGTCTTGGTAGTACAAATTAGAACTTAATCATAGTTCATACTCAGAGTAAATTTCCTCTTAGAAACAGTGCTCTCTCTGAGTGGTGCATAGGATCCTAGGTTAGTCTGATAAAGCTAATTATCCCATGTTACTATTTAACTTTAATGCTCAAGGTCACATGGAACTTAAAAACCATTTGTAACATTGCTCATAGTGAATCCAAATATATAACTAGTAATCCTTCAGATGACAACTTCTCAGAAGTTAAAGACTATTTTTTATGAGTTTTAGAGTAATTTTTACTGTTCTTGTTACATGTTTTGGGTTAGTAGAACAAATTCTACGTGTTCCTTGGAGGGATATTGCAGTTGTACCACTTTGTGTAATTTGTCTCTCTCTTGGACTGTTTAGACTATTATTATAGGCCCCTTTACAGTCTCTGAAAACCTTATAAAAGCTATCAAAGAGGTAAAAGTAATAGTACTTGTTTAATTTCTGTAAGCGTTTTAATTAAATACAGTTTACCTGTTTTTGTCTTTACCAGACTTTTGGAAATGTAGGACTACTGCTAGGACAGCCCACTATGGGCATATAATACAGACATTTTTCTTTTTTCTTTTTATTTTTTTTTGAGACTGAGTCTCACTCTGTCACCCAGGCTGGAGTACAATGGCATGGTCTTGGCTCACTGCAACCTTTGCCTCCCGGTTCAAGCGATTCTCCCACCTCAGCCTCCCAAGTAGCTGGGACTATAGGTGGGTGCCACCACTCCCGGCTAGTTTTTGTATTTTTAGTAGAGACAGGTTTTCACTATGTTGGCCAGGCTGGTCTTGAACTCCTGACCTCGTGATCTGCCCACCTCAGCCTCCCAAAGTAGTGGGATTGCAGGTGTCAGCCACCACGCCTGGCCATGCAGACATTTTTCACATAGTTTTCTGAATTGGAGGCATGAGGTTGAGAATGAGAAGCATGCTTAGGAATTGCTATGCAGGGTCCACCCAGGGCTCCTCTGCCCCAGTGTTGTCATGCTGACCAGCAGGGTCCCTGTGAGGTGCAGCCCTTATCCTCCTTGACCTTCCTCTCCACCTTTACTCAAAATTATCCAGTTAGTACTCTATTATGTTCTTGAGGCCTCATGATCAGAACTGTACAGAGAATTTCTCATATGGGTCCGTTTATTTATTTTAAGAATAGTGTCTGTCTTCCTTATAGTCATTCACACCTACTGATTTGTTGTCCATTTGGGCAGAGCTACAATCTGGGCTTATAATTTCAGTGAGTAGCTGGGCTGGGTGGCTCACGCATATAATCCCAGCACTTTGGGAAGCCAAGACAGGAGGATTGCTTGAAGCTAGCAGTTCAAGATCACCTGGGCAACAAAACGAGACCCTATCTCCACGCAAATAAAAATAAAAAATTAGCTGGGCGTGATGGTGTGTACCATAGTCCCAGCTATTCAGAAGGCTGAGGCGAGAGGATCACTTGAGCCCAGGAGATTGGGGCTGTAGTGAGCTATGATCCCACCACTGCGCTCTACCCTGGGCAACAGAGAAAGACCTTTTTTCTAAGACCAATAAAACAAAAATAAATAAATTATTTTACTAGATGATTACTAATACAAAGTTTAGATATCTTCATTTTAGATATAAAGTTTGGAATTTTTTTTAACCTTAACTTCATTACTTTGGATATACTCACATAAAAACTTAACTGGTAAAGCAGGAGGATCACTTGAGGCCAAGAATTCTAGGCCAGCCTGGCATTGTAGAGAGAGAGACACTGCCAACATGTTACAAGTTTGGGCCAATATTCTTTTTTTTAAAGTTGATTTTTTTTTTAAATTTTTATTTCAATGGTTTTTGGGGTACAGGTGGTTTTTGGTTACATGGGTAAGTTCTTTAGTGGTGATTTCTGAAATTTTAGTGCACCTGTCACCTGAGCAGTGTACACTGTATCCAATATGTAGTCTTTTATACCTTACCCTCCTCCCACCCTTCCCCTTCAGGTCCCCAAAATCCATTATCATTCTTATGTCTTTGTGTCCTCATAGCTTAGCTCCCACTTATAGGTGAGAACATATGATATTTGGTTTTCCATTCCTGAGTTACTTCACTTAGAATAACGTGGACCAATATTCTTGAATTCCTTTCAAGAGTCCAAGCAGAAGTGATAAAGTTTGGGGAGCTGGGGGAAGAGAACCGTGAAGAAGGAAAATGAGCCGTGCTAGGATTCCTTGCTTTGAAGTGTCATGTCATTTAGTTACATGCTTGGTTTCTTATTTTTAGTTGTCAGTAGAGGGTGCTTTGCCACCCTTTTAATCTTTTTGAGACTTGAATGAAAGTTGCTAGTAATAGGACCGGGCGCAGTGGCTCGTGCCTGTAATCCCAGCACTTTGGGAGGCTGAGGTGGGCGGATCACCTGAGGTCAGGACTTTGAGACCAGCCTGACCAACATGGAAAAACCCCATCTCTACTAAAAATACAAAAATTAGCCAGGTGTGGTGGCGCATGCCTGTAATCCCAGCCACTCGGGAGGCTGAGGCAGGAGAATTGCTTGAACCCAGGAGGCGGAGGTTGCAGTGAGCCGAGATCACGCCCCGGCACTGCAGCCTGGGCAACAAGAGTGAAACTCCGCCTCAAAAAAAAAAAAAAAATGTTGCTAGTAGTAGTATTAGATGTTTTAGAAGAGCTAAAATAGGAACCATTTAATTTATTGGGAGCAACAAGTTTGCTAGACTTAAGGAACAAATAAGCTTTAAGATGCAAAATGGTTTGTTTTTACATATATAGCAGTTTGAAATTTCTATAACCAATGGCTAAAAAGCATTTTAAATATATATGTTTGTTTTTAAACATTAGAGACAGGGTTGCCCTGTTTGGTCTTGAACTACTGGGCTCAAGCGATCCTCCTGCTTCAGCCTCTCCCAAAGTGCTTGGATTAAACACATAAGCCACTATGCCTGGCCTAAAATTATTTTTTTTTTGAGTTAGAGTCTCACACTGTTGCCCGGGCTGGAGTGCAGTGGTATGAGCTTGGCTCACTGCAATCTCTGCATCGCAGGTTCAAGTGATTCTCATGCCTCAGCCTCCCGAGTAGCTGAGATTACAGGCACACGCCACCATGCTGGGCTAACTTTTGTATTTTAGTAGAGATGGGATTTTGCCATGTTGGCCAGGCTGGTCTCGAATTCCTGGCCTGAAGTGATATGCCCACCTCGGCCTCCCAAAGTGCTGGGGTTACAGGTGTGAAACACCACACCTGGCCTTTTAAATTTATTTTAGAGATATATGGTCTCACAGTGTTGCCTAGGCTGGTCTTGAACTCTTGGGCTCAAATGATCCTCCTATCTCAGCTTCCCAAAGTGTTGGGATTACAGGTGTGAGCCATCGTGTCTGGAGGTAAAACTTTTTTAAAAATGTTTTTCCTCTGGACAAAAGCAAGTAAGCTTTAAATAACTGAGTACATCAGGGATTGGCAAACCTTTTCTGTAAAGGGCCAAAAGTAACTGTTTTAGGCTTTGGCGGCCATGTAGTCTTTACTGCAACTACTCTATTTCACCAATGGTATCATGAAACATCCCTAGAAAATACATAAATAAATGCGTATGGTTGCCTTCGAACAAAACTTCATTTATAAAAACTGGTTTGAGATCAGTTTCACTGGAGGGCTGTACTTTGCCAATCCCTGGATCAGATGGTTGTTTTGATCTTTTTTTAAAGTCAGATTTATTGAGCTATAATTTATATAGAGTAAAACTTACCCTCTTTAGTTTATAATTCCACAAGTTGTTTTTTTTTTCTTTTTTTTTTTAAGATGGGGTGTCACTCTATCGCCCAGGCTGGAGTGCAGTGGTGCGATCTCAGCTCACTGCAACCTCCACCTCCCGGGTTCAAGAGTTCTTCTGCCTCAGCCTCCCAAGTAGCTGGGACAACAGGCATGTGCCACCATGCCTGACTAATTTTTATAGAGATGGTTTTGCCACGTTGGCCAGGCTGGTCTTGAACTCCTGATCTGAGGTTATGTGCCCACCTTGGCCTCCCAAAGTGCTGGGATTACAGACGTGAGCCACCGCACCTGGCCCTAATTCTACAAATTTTGACAGATACACAATTTAGTCATTTAACCGTAACAATCAATACAGAACAGTTTTATAACCCCCCAAATTCCCTTGTGCTTTCTGTAATCGACCCCTCCATCCTCTAGCCCCTGGAGATCACTGATGTGGTTTCTGTCCCTATATTTTGCCTTTTGCTTAATGTCATAGAAATGGAACATACAGTGTAAAGCCTTTTGAGTCTGGTTTCTGTCACTTAGCATAATACACTTCAAATTCATTCAGTATTTTTTTTTTTTTTTTTTACTACTGAATAGTGTTCTTTTGTATGGATATACCACAGTTTGTTTATCTATTCAGCACTTGGAAGACATTGGGTTGTTTTCAGTTTTAGGCAATTATGAATAAAGCCACTACAGTCATTTGTACACAGGTTTTTGTGTGAACACAGTTATTGGTTTTCTGTTTCTGTTTTTAAATTTTCTCTTGGATAGGTGTCCACGAATGGGATTGCTAAGTTATATGGAAGCATATGTTTAATTTTATAGGAAACTCCTAAGTTGTTTTTTAGAGAGGCTTTACATCTTCCTTTTTTATTGATTAGTGATGGGCTGGTGATTTTGGCAGCAGCATGGCACTCAGCAGACAATCCATGTCTCATCTATTACTCTCTGATAACAATAGAAGATAATGGTTGCCAAATGTCAGATGCAGTTACTGTAGAAGTCACTCAATATAATCCACCTTTTCAGGTAAGATTTATATTGGTTAAATTACAAAGCAATAATATGTTGAGTATTTTTCTAACCATTTCAGGGTCTTATTTATTTATTGAAAGAGTTTTGCTCTGTCACCCAGGCTGGAGTGCAGTGGCTTGATCTCAGCTCACTGCAACCTCTGTCTCCCCTTCCAGGTTCAAGTGGTTCTCCTGCCTCAGCCTCCCGAGTGGCTGGGACTGTAGGCATGTGCCACCATGCCCAGCTAATTTTTATATTTTTAGCAGAGACAGGGTTTCACCATGTTGGCCAGGCTGGTCTCAAACTCCTGACCTCAAGTGATTCCCCCAGCTTGGCCTCCCAAAATATTGGGATTACAGGTGTGAGCCACCTTGCGTGGCCCATTTCAGGGTCAAATTTCGTGACAGATTTCATCTGCAGGGCTTGGAAATATTTTAAAATAGCTTGTTTCTAGACATTGTTGCATTTTCTTTGCCATCTCAGGCTTGTTCTTTTGCTTAGTTTTGACTAAAGAAAAATGAGAATGGAAGCAACTAGCAGAAAGCAGTTTGTTTCTTCTGCTCTAGATCTTTGGAGGGATTGTCATGTCTGTATTTAGGTAGAAAGAAGGTATTGATTAATTCCAGGGTGAAAGTAAGGAAGAAACCAAGCTGGGCATGATGAGTACATGCCTCTAGTCCCAGCTACTCAACAGGCCGAGGCAGGAAGATCACTTGAGCCCAGGAGTTTGAGGCTGTTGTGTACCATATTCACACCTGTGAATAACCACTGCATTCCAGCTTAGGCAACATAATGAGACTCCATCCTAAAAAAAGAAGAAAAAGAAAAAGGAAGGAAGAAAACTGGTAGGAATTAGGGTTTGGTTTAGAGCCTTGTATACTATAGAAAAATCCTCCTTTTTACCCAAAGGAAGATTATATTTGTATTCAGCAGTGTTCTGTAGTCATCAAAGTTCTTGTAAATGACTGGAAGACAGGCTTTCCAATTTTAAGTTCATTAATAGCAATTAAACATGTTTAATAACTGGTATTCATGAGGAAGAACCTGAACATCTATAAATTCATTTTATTTACTCTTACATAGTATCTAATTCTGTTAAATCCTTGTTTGTTTATTTTTTGAAGAGATAAAGTCTTGCTGTGTTGCTTGGACTGGAGTGCAGTGATATTCACAGGTCCATCAGAGTGCACGGTAGCCTCCAACTCCTGGTCTCAAGCAGTCCTCTCAGGTAGCTGGGATTACAGGTGTGCACCACCGTTCCTGGCTTAAATTCTTACTTTTTTTTTTTTTTTGATCCTTACTCTTAACATGACTTGTTTAATTGAATCCTGTAAGAAAATCTTTTGATTTGTTCTTTTATGCCAAACAGAAATAAACTTTATCATGTGTTCTGATTATGCAGTGTGGAAAACATGCTCAGTGTTAGAAAAAATTTCAGCCAGGGCAGAAGACTATAAAGAGAATTTGAGGATTAAAAAACAATTCTAGGACCTCGCATTTAATATTTCTGTAAAATTACTTCTTTAATAACAGCTTATCATTTTTAGCATATTCTAATTTTATTTAATGAGATTTATTTTTATTTCTCCCTCTGATTTTATATGTAAACAAATCAACTAAGTTTTCTTGTCATTAATATCTTGGCAGTAAGGTAAGAACAAAAATGTTTGTTTATCAGGGAATATTTATAAAAAATTGCCAATTCTTAATATAACGAATTTTAGTGCTTTCATTTTCTCCTTTGAATTTATCATAGGCTTCTAGTTATAGTCATCATCATGGAAATGTTTTCCAAATTTGTTAATTTTGGAAATTAACAATTTAGGCCAGGTGCGGTGGCTCACGCCTGTAATCCCAGCACTTTGGGAGGCTGAGGTGGGTGGATCACCTGAGGTCAGGAGTTCAAGACCAGCCTGGCCAACATGGTGAAACCCCATCTCTACTAAAGATACAAAAAAATTAGCCGGGCATGGTAGCATGCACCTGTAATCCCAGCTACTTAGGAGGCTGAGGCAGGAGAATTGTTTGAGCCTGGGAAGCAGAGGTTGCAGAGAGCCAAGATTGCACCACTACCCTCCAGCCTGGGCAACAGAGTGGGACTCTGTCTCAAAAAAAAAAAAAAAAAAAAAAATTAAAAAAGCAAATTATAAGCAAGTCAACAAAATATATGTCTAATTGATGTTTATAAACTTACTCTGTCATGTTTTGTTAATCATCTCATGGGTAGTGTTCAGATTTTTACAAAGAGAATTGGTGAAATATTTTTATGAAATAATGTACAAAAATGAATTTAAAAAATCATACAAATATTTTTGTTTTACTTCTTGTTAAATGTAATCTTAAATTTAACTTTCAGTCTGAAGACCTGATTTTGTGTCAGTTGACGGTCCCAAACTTTTCAAACCAGACTGCCTATCTGTATAACGAAAGTGCTGTCTATGTGTGCTCCACAGGAACTGGGAAATTTTCTCTTCCCCAGGAGAAAATTGTCTTTAATGCACAAGGTACAGTAGCAGTTTTAGAAAGCATGATTGGTGAGCTCATTAGTCATTCTGAGTGCTTTTTTTCTCTTTCCCTGAATGTCACTTCAAGCATGCTGCTTTCAAATGTTTCTGAGACATTTCATACCACAACTACAGCAGCTGAAGCCATAACCCTACTAAGAAACCAAAAGGGTACTAGAATTTCCAAACTATTATATTTACAGACAAAGATAGTAACATTTGTTCCAGGAGAAGATGCCAAGAAGCAAAAAACTATTGCCAAGAGAAGTAATTGCTTATTCCTAGTTAGTAAAAGTGACATATTCTGAGTTGATGCTTTAACTTTTCCACACCCCTAGATAAGAAGAGCTTCAGGTGCTGGACTTATGCAGGGGGGCTGGTCAGGATTGAAGAAGAACCAAGCAGATACTTAGCTGAAGGGGTTGGGCAGAGGACAGAGTGCAGGTAGGCAACAGCATGGAACCCAGGTTTTCTAGTCCCAGCACAAGAACCTTGACAGAGGGTGGGTAGGATGTTACTAAGGTGCCAGGTAGGCTTAGACCTTTTTTTTTTTTTTTTTTTTCCAGTCCCCATTGACTGATGTGGTAAGTTAAAGTCAGAATTAAGAGAACTCCACAGGATTGAAAAAGCTCTTCTTCTGAGTTTTGCAGAAGGAATAATTTTCTTTTTTGGCTTACTAGACTGACTGCTGTCTGGCAAGGCTAGTTTTTATTGTCCTTAAAGCTGAAAGACACAGAGCCTGCTTCTTCAGATAGCAACCGGTTCTTAGCATTTGATTCTGGGATGTAAAGGATGAGTTCGAAGTAGGACTAATGTTGTAAAGGAAAAAATGTGCTTAATATATCATCAAGATGATTTTCTGCTTAGGGTGGTAGCTTTTACATAGCATTTTGTTGTTATTGTTAGATGTATTTGACTCTGTTTTCCTTTCTTTTAGGAGATAGTGTTTTAGGTGCTGGTGCCTGTGGTGGTGTTCCTATCATTTTTTCTAGAAACAGTGGACTGGTGTCTATTACTTCAAGGGAAAATGTGTCTATATTGGCAGAAGACTTGGAAGGGTCTTTAGCATCTTCAGTTGCTGGACCAAACAGTGAGGTAATGTGATTCGATAAGAATTTGAAGTTTTTATGTTATTTATTTTTTAGAGATAGTGTCTCACGCTGTCACCCAGGCTAGAGTGCAGTGGCACAGTCGTAGTTCATTGCAGCCCCAAACTCCTGGCCTCAAGCAATCCTCCTGCCTCAGACTTCCCAGTAGGTGCCTGGCTAATTTTTTGTTTTTTGGTTTGGTTTGGTTTTTGAGACAGAGTCTCACTCTGTTGCCCAGGCTAGAGTGCAGTGGCATAATCATAGCTCACTGCAGCCTCACCTCAACCTCCCGGGATCAAGCAGTCCTCCCCTCTTAACTTCCTAAATAGCTGGGACTACAGACATGCGCCATCTCACCTGGCTAATTTTTTATTTTTTGTAGAGACAGGATCTCCTTATGTTGCCTAGGCTGGTCTCAAACTCCTGGGCTCAAGAATCCTCCCGCCTCGGCCTCCCAAAGTGCTGGGATTACTGGCGTGGAGCCACCATGCCCAGCCTAATTTTTAGTTTTATCAGATTATTTTATACAAATGGTCTCAAAACTGAGACAGTTTTCAAAGACGTAATGATGCAGACATTAGTTCTTTTTATCTTCCTCATCCCTTCTGTCCTCTTTGCCTGGAGCAACTACATTTAAGCCTTTTAGTGATTTATTCTGGTATTTTTCTCCATATATCTAAGTAATGTACATATATTCCTGTCTCCTGATGCATCTGTTGATTTTCTACTACAGAAAATGAGGTTTTGGGTTACCTTATACTCCTTCCTCTGCCTTTATCATTCTAACATAAATTTTTTTCATTGTAATGACAATGTAAATATTGTTTATGGTTTGCTGATCCCAAATACTGATTACATGTCCTTTATTATAGAACTTTGTGTGACTCTTGGAGTGTATAATGACCTCGTTTTGTATTTTCTCACTTTCCTTTCATATGTGACTTAATCTTTTTACACACTCCAGGAGTTCTGTAGAGTGCCCCTCAATGTAGTTTTTCCCAAAGTCAAGTCTCCAGAAACCTTCCATCTGCACAGCTGTCATCCCAGAACTTCCCTTTTCTATTGTCCTCAAATCCTCAGGACCTGTCCTCTGCACCATGCATAGGTGGCCTCATCTCCTGTCAGCGGGGCCATTTCCCATTCCTTCTGCTTTCTATCTTCCTTTGTTGTAGTTAGTATCACAGATATTTCCAAGGAGCTTGTATTTCTGTTTCTTTTTATTCTGGGATGATTTTTTGAGAGGAATAGCCAGGTAAAAATTACCAATTTTATTCTGTTGTCTTGAAACCTGAAATATCCTATCCATAAGATTTTTATCATTCTTTTACAGAAGACTAAAAATAATTAATACTGTTTGGGGTAATTTCCATTTGAATAGTGTATGAAATATATAGACTACCTCTGTAATTCAAATTAAAGTGATTAAGTGTAGTTTTAAAGGAAAGAAACAATTTTTAACTTTTTTTTCTTTTCACAAAAGGGATTAATACCTTGCATTTTGTATTTTGTAATTATACAAAATTATACAAAGTACAAAATACCTTGTATTTTGTAATTAATACGATTACAAAAAAGGATTAATATCTATTTTGTAATTGTATGGTTATTATAATACTGTTATACATTCTGAAGCAATTTTATAGTATTCCATTTCTTTAAAATTTTTCTAAACCGTTGTTTAAATTTGTAATCAACCATTATGCTTAGGTAGTATACACTGTGATGAGTCGTGTAAGAGCAAACCTATAAAAAGATTCTGTTAATTATGATGAAATGTCCAAATTATTTTACTTACAACATAATCCCTGAATTACCTGTACCTTTTCTGTATGACTTTGGTTGATCATTTGATGCTATTTATAGTGTTTCAATAAGTATATGAATAATTGGTATGGACCAAGCTTGTCCAACCCACAACCCATGGGCTGCATGCGGCCCAGGATGGCTTTGAATGCAGCCCAACACAAATTCGTAAACTTGCTTGAAACATAAATTTTTTTTTTTTTAACTCATCAGCTATCATTAATGTTAGTGTATTTTATGTGTGGGCCAAGACGATTCTTCCAGTGTGGCCCAAGGAAGCCAAAAGATTGGACACCCCTGGTACAGACAATACGGCAAACAGCTCGTGTATATGCGGAGTTGCTATCATAGGATGGGTGCAGTTTTTAGTCCAATAATTAAGAATATTCAGATGCCTTTACCTCTAAACTATACTTTGTTATTTTGCAGAGTATGATTTTTGAGACCACTACAAAGAATGAAACTATAGCCCAGGAAGATAAAATCAAGTTGCTGAAAGCTGCCTTTCTGCAATACTGCAGGTATAACATGTTTTTTAAATTATGGATTATTTTATGTGTGAGGATATGTTTTACTGACATGTGCTACTTATTGACTGGTGGGAGCAAGTTGGAGGAATGATGCTATCAAGAGGAGAATGTTTTTTTGAGCTTTAGCACTTTAATAAACTGTTCTTCTGAACTTAGTAGCCATGGGAGGGTTCCAGCTAGCTAGGTTAGGGAAAAAACATGGGCTCTAACATACTCTCTCCACTTCATGAAAAACAATGTACCATTAAAAATGGTGATCATGAAGACATCTTGCAAGGGTCTTTTACGTATAACGTTAAGGTGCAAATAAGTTGCTTACAAAGTTTTTTTTTTTTTTTTTTTTTTTTTGAGACACTCCGTCGCCCAGGCTAGAGTGCAGTGGCGCGATCTTGGCTCACTGCAAACTCCGCCTCCCGGGTTCAAGCGATTCTCCTGCCTCAGCCTCCCAAGTAGCTGGGACTGCAGGCGTGTACCACTACACCTAGCTAATTTTTTTATTTTTAGTAGAGATGGAGTTTCACCATGTTGGCCAGGCTAGTCTCAAACTCCTGATTTTAGGCTGACTCCTAAAGTGCTGGGATTACAGGCGTGAGCCACCACTTCCAGCCGCATGCAAAGTTTTATTGGTAATATTAAAGAATTATGGCCTGGTGTGGTGGCTCACACCTGTAATTCCAGCACTTTGGGAGGCTGAGGCAGAAGGATCTCTTGAGCCCGGAAGTTCGAGACCAGTCTGGACAACATAGACCTCATCTCTACAAAGAAAAATTTTAAAAATAATTAGCCGGGCATGGTGATGCACGCCTCTAGTCCCAGCTACTCAGAGGCTGAGTTGGGAGGATCATATGAGCCCGGGAGGCCAAGTCTACTGTGAGCCATAATCACACCACTGCATTCTAGCCTGAGTGACAGATCAAGTCCCTGTCTCAAAAAAAGCAAAAGAATTAGACCTGGCCTATTAGTTGAGTTTTGCTTTACGCAAAATCACCACAAACCTTAGTGACTCATTTAACATAGCTGACAATTCTGCAGTTTGACTGTTGGGGCTGGACTCGGGGCAGTTTTACTTTTCGGAGTAGGCTCACTCATTTTGGTCTGCAGCTGGGCTGGCTGCTCTTTACCGTACTCACATTTCTGGGCCATAGGCTGGCCAGCTCGCTCTCTATTCCTGTGATGTCTCCTCAACTAGCAGGCTGCCCTGGGCTTATTCATGTATCACAGGGTTCTAGAGTGGCAAGAGAACAAGTGTCAGTGCACACTCTTTAAGTCTTTGCTTGGATGGCGTTTGCTAGTGTCCTGTTGGCCAGAGCAAGTCCAGCTGTAGTGAGAGCGTGCCTAAGCAGATGCGCGTATGGGGTGGGGAGTGATTGTCCTCACTTGGTCACACTTGCTGCTCTAATACTCTTCTGGGTTTAAGGCAAATGCAGATTTCAGTTTATCTTAGACATGTATTCTGCTCATGTATTCTGGTACTTTCCTTAAAAGGTATGGCAAATTCACATTTGAATAAATACTCAGGAAAATGGTGATCCAGCCCCCCTGCTCTGCCCCTTGTTAGCTGTGGGAAACTTTGGACAGATGCTGAACATTTCTGCCATTGTGTTTCTGTTTCTTCCTTTTCGAAGTATTGAGTGGGGTGGGAGTTAGCATGGCTAAAGGATCATTAGTTTATCGTCAGATCTTTGTTTTGAAGGAATATACTGAGTGTACTACCTTCATTTCCCCCAGTTCTGAGCCCATGGTTCCATAATCCCACTCATACTGGTGTCTGATGCATAGCGGCTCACTCACAGAGACAACAGATTCCAAAGTGCTTTTACAGTTCTAACATTCTGTACCTCGTGATCTACTGAGCTTAGTTTGTCACCAGAAGGGGGCACCATTAGGCAAGTTTTTTGTTTCTGTTTAAAATTATATTCTTTTAATCTTGTTCTTTTACATGGTTCAGTCTTCAAAAATCTCAGTTGAAGTACTGTGTTTTTATCTTTCACAAGTTTATCCTGTAATTAAAATTCTGTCACATTTGTGGCATCTCAAAATGTAAATGATAATGCAGCAAGTGACCAGTCATTAGATTTGTTTCCTGTGGCTGCCATAACAAATCACCACAAGCCAGGAGCTTCAAACAACGCAAGTGTCTTCTCTCACAGTTCTGGAGGCCAGAAGTCTGAGAGCGAGGCATGAGCAGGGCCCTCCCTCTGAAAGCTCTGAGAAAGGATCTGTCTTCACCTCTCTCAGCTCCGGGTGGCTGCTAGCAATCCTTGGTTTGTAGATGTGTCACTCCAGTTTCTGCCTCCATTGTCACGTAGCTGTCCTCACATTCACATGGCCTTTTTTTTTTTTTTTGAGACAGAGTCTCACTCTGTCATCCAGGCCAGAGTGCAGTGGTGTGATCTCGGCTCACTGCAACCTCTGCCTCCCTGGTTCAAGCAATTCTTCTGCCTCAGCCTCCCAAGCAGCAGGTGCACACTGCCATGCCCGGCTAATTTTTTGAATTTTTAATAGAGACGAGGTTTCACCATGTTGGCCAGGCTGGGCTCAAACTCCTGGACTCAAGATCCACCCACCACAGCCTCCCAGAGTGCTGGGATTACAGGTGTGAGCCACCATGCCCAGCCCACGTGGCCTTCTTATAAGGACATCAGTCATTGGATTTAGACTCATCATAATTTAACAAATTGTATCTGCAAAAACCTTATTTCCAAATAAGGTTGCATTTTGAGGCACTGGGTAGATATGAATTTGTGGGAGACACTATTCAACCTGGTGTAGTCATCTTAAGATGTTTTACAGGGGAAAATTATTAGGCACAAGAAGGGACCCCTGATCTAAGTCCTGAGCAAGCAGTACCCTCAGGAACAGTGTCATGGGCCCTGTAGCACAGCTGTGCTGAACTCATCCTGCCCAACATGGGTGAAGTACTATGGACTTAATAAGGGATGATTTCTGGGGGAGTGTCAGCTAGCTCTCTTAAAGATGTAGACTCCTTACAAACAGAATTGTGGTGCCTTTAAAGCTGGATTTCTCAACCCCATTAACATTGTCATTTGAGGCCGGGTGTGATGGTTCACACCTGTAATCCCAGTACTTTGGAGGCCAAGGCAGGCAGATCATTTGAGATCAGGACTTCGAGACCAGCCTGACCAACATGGTGAAACCTTGTCTCTTCTTAAAAAAAAAAAAAAAAAAAAATAGCTGGGTGTGGTGGCACATGCCTGTAATCTCAGCTACTCAGGAGACTGAGGCAGGAGAATCGCTTGAACCCAGGTGGCGGAGGTTGTAGTGAGCCGAGATCCCGTCACCGCACTCCAGCGGTGCATTGTAAGCTGTTTAACAGCATCACCAGCCACTTCCTGCTAGATGCCATTAGCACCCTTTCCCCCAACTTGTGATGCCCAAAGTTATCGTCAGACATTGCCAGATGGCCCCTGGGGTCACAATTGGTAGATAACACTTTTAAGTGTGACTGTCTGTTTAATCTTTTGCTAAGGTAATATTACTGTTTTTATAGCATCATTTCTTTGAAATTGATTTTTATGTTATTTTGGTTTTCATTTTATTTAGCCCAAAAAACACTAAATCTTTTGTTCATGAGAGTTTTGGGGAACTTTTTCTGTAATTTTTTATTAAATCTTGCCATAGTCACCTTTGTATTTTCATAACCTGTAGCGTGACTGGGTCACCAGCTTCACCCTGGCCTTTCACGCTTTCAAGAGTTTTTCTGCGTTTCTCCAGTCAGCTGTGTCTCCTGTTCTACCAAGGGACCATGACAGCCCTTTTCCAGTCTCCTCCCACTTCCCTCAGACTTAGCAGAGGACTTAACTTCCTACTTCACAGAGATCACAGAAGCCCTTGATAAGAGCTCCCTGTACCTCCTAGCTTACTAGCTATGAATGTATCTGGATCCCAAATCCTGTTCCTCTTTCCCTCCCAATAAAGTAGGAAGTGTACTCTTCTTCCTATCAGAGACTGCTCTTTGTTTTGAAGGCCACTCTCTCCTGCTTCACTTAAGACTACATCCTTTCAGTTCTCCCTTTCCTCTGTCCTTTGACCTTTCTCGTGCTGGCTCCTTCTCATCAGCAATTAATCATATTTAGTCTGCCATTTGTAAAAAGACCAGTCTTTGACTTTGCGTCCTTTGAGTTACCACCTTATCTGTTTGTTCCTGTTGATGGCTAAACCACCTGAAAGGATGTCTACATTCTCAGTTGTCGACCACATTCCCTCTCTGTCTACTCCCTCGGTGATCTTTTCTCCTCCTTGGCTTCATTTGCTGAAGAAACAGATGTACCATGACCCGGGCCATTATGTGAAAATGGAGAGTGTCCAGCAGCAGTACATATTTCATAGGCACTTGAGTTTCAACGTATCCAAAACCGAGCTTATCTTCTCCAAAGCTTATTCTTCCATCCTTACCCCCTGCTCCAGTGACAAGCACTACCATCTCTTCAGTTCAAAGCAACAACAGAGGAGTCATTCTTATACAGTTGTTCCCCCTTACCCACAGGGGGATATGTCTTAAGACCCCCAGTGGATACCTGAAATTGCATATAGTACTGAATCATATATATACGTTTTTCCTATAGTACCTATGATGAAGTTTAATTTATAAATTGGGCATCCTAAGAGATTAAGAACAATAGTAATAAAACAACCGTAACAATATACAATTGACCTTTGAACAACACGGCTTTGAACTGTGTGGGTCTACATAATATGCAGGCTGTTTTCAACCAAATGCGGATCAAAAATTCACAGCATGTTTTCAACCAAATGCGGATCAGAAATTCACTTGCTTATGCAGAAGGTCGCCTTTTTGTATGCTGGAGCTCCACAGAGCCAGCTGCAGGACTTGAATATGGGTGGATTTTGGTGTATGTTGGGGGTCCTGTAACTAATCCCCTGTGTATACTGAGAGATGACTGTACTGTAATAAAAATATGTGAGTGTGGTTGGTCTCTCTCTCTCTCTCTGTCTCTGTCATCTGTTTTCAGACTGCAGTTGACTGCAGGTAACTGTGACTGTGGGAAGTGAAACCATGAATAAGAGGGGACTACTGTACATCAGATCCAGCAGTAACCTAACTGGATTTTTCTCTTTCCTGTCTTTTCCTTTCTGCAGTAACCTCCTAACTGGATTTTTCTCTTGTCTGATCTGACATCTGATCCCCTCTCCATATGATAGAGCAATCTTTTGGGACACTGGAACAGACTGTGACACTCCTTTACAGTGCCTGTCCATTGTCCTTGGTATTAGGTTCAAACCCCATAACATGGTTTACAAGACCGTGTCCTCTAATTTTGTGATTCATCCCTTCTCAGTATCCCTCGTTTCTTCATGTGTGCCATAGTTAATCCCCTGGTGGGTTCATTGACACCCTAGTTGTCCCCTAATCTCTCTAAGTTAGAAGAGTCTGCTGCTTTTTATGGGCTTACCCTTCCTTTAATTGGTTATCCTGCAAGTTTTTTCCAAACTCTTGCTCCCTGGGTGATCTCAGCCTCTCCCGTAGCCTCAGTTCTCTCCTGAGATAGAGGCTTACTTGCGGACGGATGTGGATGTATGTTCTGTGTGCAGCTGTATACCCCTCCCCCAGTTCTCCCCAGCCTTCCATGACCTCCTCTTTACCTGTTAGGAAGTTTTCCCTGTCTCTCTCGGTGTTTATCACCTGTGTCATTGCTTGCTCAATTGTCTGGACTATTTTTAAGTCTTTTTATCTTTCTGTGTCCAGAGCCGAGCATGTTCTAAGTATTCAATGTGTATTTATTGAATTAATGAATGGATAATAGTTTTCTCCCTTTTAATTAAATAAATTTTATTAAAAGTAACTTTGAGCCAAAACCTATAAATGGTTTTTAGGTTACATTTAACTTCACAATTAACTTAAAATTTTTTTTTTATTTTTATGGGTACATAGTAGGTGTATACGTTTGTGGGGTACATGAGATATTTTCATACGGGCATACAATGCGTAATAATCACATCAGGGTAAATGGGATATCCGTCACCTCAAGCATTCATCTTTTTTGTATGTTGTGAACATTCTAATTATGCTCTTAGTTACTTTAAAATGTACACTAAATTATTGAACATGTAAAGTTTGTTACATGTCTTTCGTGCCTGACTTATTTCACTTAACATGTCCTCCAGTTCCATCCCTACTGTTGCGAATGACAGGATCGCATTCTTTTTTTTGGCTGAATAGTAGTCCATAATTAATTTTTTCTTGGTGAGTTTTGAAAATATTTTGCCTCCCTTAATACTTGTGTTTTCCAATTTTATTTCAGAAAAGATTTAGGTCATGCTCAAATGGTGGTTGATGAGCTCTTTTCCTCTCACTCTGATTTGGATTCTGATTCTGAACTAGACAGGGCAGTTACCCAAATCAGTGTAGACCTGATGGATGACTACCCAGCATCTGACCCACGGTGGGCTGAGTCTGTCCCTGAGGGTAAGAATGTTTCAATTATGGAACGGTGTGTTTTGAACATATTCTGGTTTCTTTATTAGAAGCATCTCTTAAAGCATATTTTTTAGCTTCTCAAACAATTTAATATTAATTCAATATTTTTTAAAATATTGTGACCTTCCTTTTTTTTTTTTTTTTTGAGACAGAGCAAGGCTCTGTCACCCAGGCTGGAGTGCAGTGGCGCGATCTTGGCTCACTGCAAGCTCCACCTCCCAGGTTCACGCCATTCTCCTGCCTCAGCCTCCCGAGTAGCTGGGACTACAGGTGCCCGCCACCATGGCTGGCTAATTTTTTTGTATTTTTGGTAGAGACGGGGTTTCACTGTGTTAGCCAGGTTGGTCTTGATCTCCTGACCTCGTGATCCACCCACCTCGGCCTCCCAAAGTGCTGGGATTACAGGTGTGAGCCACCAGGCCCGGCCAGGTAACCTTCCTTATAGTATGTTTTGAAAAAGGGTCAGAACAGGTCTAGATAACAGAATGGAAACTAAAGGAACATTGGAGCAAATCCTAATTGTTCTATCCAAGGCAGATTAATTGCCTTACTTAGCTTTCCTGGCTTTTATTTCTAAAAGAAAATTGGTTGCATAGGTAGACAGTTGGCACTTACCTGCCCCCCAATCCCAGTTTTTTTTTTTGTTTTTTTTTTTTGGAAACAGGGTCTCCCTTACTTTGTCACCCAGACTGGAATGCAGTGGCACGATCTCAGCTAACTGCAACCTCCACCTCCTGGGTTCAAGTGATACTCCCACCTCAGCCTCCTGAGTAGCTGAGATTACAGGTGTGCACCACCATGCCCAGCTAATTTTTGTATTTTTAGTAGAGATGTAGTTTTACCATGTTGGCCAGGCTGGTCTTGAACTCCTGACCTCAGGTGGTCCACCCGCTTTGATCTCCCAAAGTGCTGGGATTTCAGGTGTAAGCCACCACACCCAGCCTACTTACCCCCAAATTAAATGATAATTTTGGCATAATCAGTATATTTGACTAATAGAAATGATCCATTCCCCTAAGAGCAGCAGTGATCAAATGTCAATATGTAGAAGTGGACAAGACATGTCTAGCTGCCTGTCCCAGGTGACTGCCCCTCTTACTCTTACTTCCACCTCAGAAACTCGAGGGGAACTCTGGGGTCCCCAGATACCAGGGAACTGTCTCAAACATGTTTCTCTCCCTAATTATCCTACTTCTTAGCAAGTTCACTAAGCTCCATTAGAGATTTAGGAAGAAAACATGAGAGCTCATCTCCTTTCTTTGACTGTTTTTGTTGGCACTGTCAAGCTTAAATTGTTACAAATGATTAAACTAAAAACGTATTTTGCATTTTGAATAAATACAGTATGAATTGTATCAAACCTCCAAAATTTACTCTTAAATTTTTAAAACTCCTGAGTAACGTTATAAACAACTGTATTGTAAGGTTGATATTTTTATTTTGTATAGACTTTTTTTTTTTTTCCCTTTTCTTTTTTGAGACCGAGTCTCGCTCTGTCGCCAGGCTGGAATGCAGTGGCGCAATCTCGGCTCACTGCAACTTCCACCTCCCCGGGTTCAAGCAATTCTCTTGCCTCAGCCTCCTGAGTAGCTGGGACTACAGGCATGCGCCACCACGCTCAGCTAATTTTTGTATTTTTAGTAGAGATCGGGTTTCACCATGTTTGCCAGGATGGTCTCGATCTCTTGACCTCGTGATCTGCCCACCTCGACCTCCCAAAGTGCTCGGATTACAGGTGTGAGCCACCGTGCCTAGCCTTAGCTTTTTATTTTAATAGCAGTTAGCCACTGATATTAAAATAGTATAGTTGTAAAACCACTATGTTCTAAGTTTTATCACTGTGTTTTAACAGAAGCACCTGGGTTCAGCAATACGTCACTGATTATCCTTCACCAGCTAGAAGACAAGATGAAAGCTCACTCTTTTCTTATGGACTTTATTCATCAAGTAAGAGCGCAGGGTGCTGGGCACAGGGCTCTGCCTTTGGCAGTCTCTCCAACACAGTGGGAAGTCTCTTCTCTCTATTTTGAGGTGTTTCATTGGGTGGGGCATGACTGGTGTTTTCCATTGTCTCTGCTGATTTAAAAGTCCGTAATTCCAGGGCTGTGTACAAGCCTGTTAATCCAGGTATAAGAAGCAGGACTTCATTCAGATTTCCCGTGTGCGTTTGTGTAAGAACTTAAGTTTTCATGAGTCGATTTTGTATTTGACAGATTTTTATGTATGACTTTTAATTTTGAGGTGCCATTAGAATCAAATCCTCATTGAAAGTATTCCTTTTCTTTTTTTGGGTAAAGGTTATCCTCACATATATTGTGCCTAAATTAGAAAATGTTTTGCTACTGGACAGAATTGTTACATAAATTCACTCATTCTTGTCTCGTCAATAAAAGTGGCTTGCAGACATATTACGTAGCCAAATGAATGAATTTCAACCTGCTTGGGGTTTTGTTTGTTTGTTTTATTTATTTATTTATTTATTTATTGAGACAGGGCACTCTGTTGCCCAGTCTGGAGTGTAGTGGCACAGTCTTGGCTCACTGCAGCCTTGACCTCCTAGGCTCAAGCAGTCCTCTCACAGCCTCCTGGGTAGCTGGGACTACAGGTTTGTGCCACCATGCCCATATAATTTTTTTTCAGTTTTTGTAGAGACAGAATCTTACTACGTTGCCCAGGCTGGTCTCGAACTCCTGGGCTCAAGAAATCACTGCACTTCAGCCTCCCAAGGTGCTGAGGTTACAGGCATGAGCTACCAGGCCCAGTCTCTTCCCTGATTGTTTTTCAAACTCAGTAGTGCCTACTCACTACCACACCCGGCTAATTTTTTATGTTAAGGAGATTCTAGTGAGTGCTGTCCAATCCATTGCTTTCTGTGATCATGGGAATGTTCTCCTAGTGTGATGTCTAGTGGGACAGCTGCTGGCCACATGTGACCTGAACAGTTGAAATGTGACTAGCAACTGAAGAACTGAATTTTAACTTACTTAAATAGCCACTGTGGACAGTGGCTACCTTATTGGACAGTGCAGCACTAGATAATTTCAGAAATGACTTGATTGTTCCTAATCCCACATTCTTTTTCAATTTTGTGCATGGTTTATCTCCTGTCTACTCTTTTATTTTCTTGGCAAGAAAACTCCAATCATTCATTGAGTCTCTCTTTTTTTGTTATTGTTATTTTAGGTGGGATATGGATTAATGAGGAAAAAACATATTTTCTCCCGATATGGTCGTTTAATTAGCCAAGTGTATCAGTTAACTATTACTGCCATATAAACCACCCCAAAACACAGTGGCTTAAAACAATTCTGTGGGTTAATCAGGCAGTTCTTCTGTTGGTTTCACCCGGAATCACTCGACCTGCATTTAGGATGCACTGAGCTGGAGGGTCTGCAAGCCTCTTCCCGCTTTCTGGCAGTTGGTTCCAACTGTCAACAGAGGCTATGTGGTTCTCCTCCATTTAGTCGCTCATCCTGCTCTGGGCTGGACTGGCTTCCTGTGGTCTTAACAGATGAACATAGAAGCTGTAGGCTTCTTAAGGGCTCATCTCAGATGTCACATAATGTTACTTCCAGTAAAGTGACATTGGTCAAAGCAAGTCACAAGGACAGCTGGGATGAAAAATTAAAGAATTTATTATACCTCTTTTTTTGTATGTGTGTGACAGGGTTTCACTCCCATCGCCCAGGCTGGAGTACAGTGGCGCAATCTCAGCTCACTGCAACCTTTGCCTCCTGGGCTCAAGTGATTCTCCTGCCCCAGCCTCCCCAGTAGCTGGGACTACAGGCGCATGGTGCTGAACCTGGCTAATTTTGTGTATTTTTTGTGGAGAACGGGTTTTGCCATATTGCCCAGGCTAGTTTCGAACTCTTAAGCTCAAGTGATCGCCTGCCTCTGCCTCCCAAAGTGCTGCGATTACAGGTGTGAGCCACTGTGCCCAGTGTGATTGTACCTCTCGATGGGAAGAGTGGCAAAGTCATTCTCATTGGAAGAGGATATGCATACTGGGCCGGCAGGACCTTGCCCTGACCTGATTCGCCACACTAAAAGCATGGATTTATCAGAGGCCCGAAAGCCATGAGAGCATGAGCACTCTTGTCTCAGCCTTCCTGGGTTCCAGAGAACCCTCACGAAGTTCCACGGCTGCTGGTAGCAGTATCTGTCCTAAGGCAATGTCTAGCTAGTTCTGAAAACCCCATTCCAGCCATGCCTTTTATGTTTCTATTTCCTTTAATATTTAGAGCTCATTTAACTAATGAGGAAGAATTTATGTTGATAATTAGGAAAAAGGTATAACTAGATACTAAGGAAAGTTTTTTTTGTGTGTTTTTTGTTTGGATACAGGGTCTCTGTTGCCCAAGGTGGAGTGCAGTGGCACGATCGCAGCTCACTGCAGGCTTGACCTCCTGGGCTCAAGCAATCTTCTCACCACTGCCTCCCCAATAGATGGGACCACAGGCACTCACTACCACGCCCGGCTAATTTTTTTATTTGCTGTAGAGACAGGGTCTCATAATGTTGCCCAGGCTGGTCTCAAATTCCTGGCCTCAAGTGATCCTCTTGCCTAGGCTTCCCAAAGTGCTGGGATTACAAGCCTGAGCCACTGCACCCAGCCCTAGGGAATATTTCTGAATACAGAGAAATATTCCTTTTCTCCTTGAGCCAAACTTGGCATCTGCAGGGCCATATCCTCATTCTGAAGGGGGTGGAAGTAACACCAACACTTCAGAACAGTACCCTTGCCTCTAGTTTTCTGATGTTGAGGGAAGCCTCTGTGTTCATACATTGTGTTTCCATACCTTACAGAAGCAGGGAGGTAATCTGATCATATTCACTGTGTGACTAGAATGATTGTACATATATATATATATATATATGTATATTTAGTTTTTTAATTTTTTTGAGACAGGGTCTCACTCTGTCACCCAGGCTGGAGTGCAGTGGCATGATCATAGCTCACTGTAGCTACAGCCTGTCCGGGCTCAGGTGATCTTCCCATCTCAGCCTCCCAAGTAGCTGGGACTACAGGCATGTGCCACCAAATCAGCTACTTTTTGTATTTTTTGTACACATTACCCAGGTGATCGCCTGCTTCTGCCTCCCAAAGTGCTGGGATTACAGGTGTGAGCCACTGTGCCTGGCCTAGAATAGTTTTAATCTAGAGCCATTGCTTCACTGTCAGTGCTGCAATCAAAGCAAAGTAAAGCAGGCAATTGGGATGACCTTGCATGAAAACTCCACCTAGATTTTTTTTTTTTTTTTTTTTGAGACGGAGTCTCGCTCTGTCGCCCAGGCTGGAGTGCAGTGGCGCAATCTCTGCTCACTGCAAGCTCCGCTTCCCTGGTTCATGCCATTCTCCTGCCTCAGCCTCCCAAGTAGCTGGGACTACAGGCGCCTGCCACCACGCCCGGCTAATTTTTTGTATTTTTAGTAGAGACGGGGTTTCACTGTTTCAGCCAGGATGGTCTCGATCTCCTGAACTCGTGATCCGCCCGCCTCGGCCTCCCAAAGTGCTGGGATTACAGGCATGAGCCATCACGCCTGGCCGATTACACCTAAAATATTTTTGAGGGAACCAGGAAATAAATTCAAGTCAGGAAAGACCATGTAACTCTTATTTTAAAATAATAAGGTGAACAGGTTAAATACATTAGGATTCAGTGAATTATTAACCAGTCATTAAAAATAAGAATATCTAAATGTGTTATAAAAAATAAGATACTATCAAAACAAGGTACAGAACAATATATACAGTGTGACCCCTTTTGTGTTATAAAAAGATATCTCCTAGCATGTAAATACTACAAAAGCATATAGAAAATGAAGGATAAGAAAATCAGGTCACTTATTAACGAAAGAGAATTATACTTAAAATGTGAAAAAGTATTCATTATTTATGCCTGTCTTTTGGCTCTTTCCTAGTTCAGGTTATTGTAATGTCATATGCAATGAGAAAGCTTAGGAAAACCCCTAGAAGATCATAACACAGGACAGATGGGCACCAAGCAACTCAGTAGAAGATGCAAAGGGTTAGAGACACCCCCACCCTCCCAGCAGCATTAGGGGTATGGAAATCAGTCCTTGAAGGTGGAGGTTGCTGAGTTTCTGATTTCTGAAAGTCTGGAACCTAGGGGAGTTAATTGATACAGCTAGTAAAGGGCAGTGTGAAGCCAGGTGCAGTGGTTCACACCTGTAATTCCAGTGCTTTGAGAGGCCGAGTCAGTAGGCTCGCTTGTGGCCAGGAGATCTTGTGGCCAAGATCAGCCTGGGCAACATAGTGAGACCCCATCTCTACAAAAATAAAGTGTAAAAATTATCCTGTTGTGGTGGCGTGCTGCTTGGGAGGCTGAGGTGGAAGATGGCTTGAGCTGAGGGTTTAAGGTTAGGGTGACCTGTGATTGTGATTGTACCACTGCACTCCAGCCTGGGCGACAGAGCAAAACCCTGTCTCAAAAAAGACGAAAAGAGCAGTGTGACTGTTTTGATAACCATAAACAATAATTTGGGAAACATGATATGCAGAGACAGTAGTAGTGGACAGAAGCCCTGGAGTGACCCTGTTCTTAGAACAGGAATATCTACATTTCCTTGTGGGTGTTAATGGCCTGGCTGAAGTGTCTGTGTGTTAGAAACAGTTAAAACAAGAGACAGCTGGAGGGACTTGCTGGGGGAAAGCTGGGGCCAGTGACTGCCCAGGGTGCTTCTGGGGAAAATACAGCTATGGTATTTTGCATGTTACCATAATTGCTTTCTGAGAATATGTGTTTGCCTTTTTGCAAGGTTGGCTTATTTGGACGTCTAGGCAGTTTTCCAGTTAGAGGGACACCGATGGCCACTCGACTGTTGCTCTGTGAGCATGCCGAAAAGCTGTCAGCCGCCATTGTTCTCAAGAACCACCACTCCCGGCTTTCTGACCTTGTCAACACAGCCATATTGATTGCTTTGAACAAGAGGGAGTATGAAATCCCATCCAACCTGACTCCTGCAGATGTCTTTTTCAGGGAGGTAAGATGAGTCCTCTTTCATGTGGCTTTGTAGAACTGTGCCATTTAGTGATCATGCCCTAGGCAGGAAAGACGGTGAGGACGAGTTAAATCACAAAAGATCTCACTGAAATTTTAAATTGGACTCCAGATTTTCTGGCTAGAGTGTCACTCAGAAGTCTCATTGATCAGTTACCTGTAAAGAAGAGTTTGCAAAGTTGACTAAGAAGTGCTCCCTGTTTACTTTTTTCCCCCAATAACTGTCTCCAAGTACCTATTTGCTTTGCATGCTGATCTTCTTTTTTTTTTTTTTTGAGATGGAGTCTCACTCTGTTGCCCGGGTTCCAGTGATTCTCCTACCTCAGCCTCCCGAGTAGCTGGGATTACAGGTGCTAGCCACCACCCCGGCTAATTTTCATATTTTTAGTAGAGATGGGGTTTGATGTCGAACTCCTGACCTCAGGTGATCCACTCGCCTCAGCCTCCCAAAGTGCTGGGATTACAGGCGTGAGCTACTGCATCCATCCTGATCTTCTCCTTTGTCTCTCTCGATCTACTCTTTTTTCTGGGGGCAGGGGGCACTAAGTCTTGCTCTGTTGCCAGGCTGGAGTGCAACAGTGCAATGTCGGCTCACTGCAACCTCTGCCTCCTGGCTTCAAGCAATTCTCCTGCCTCAGCCTCCCAAGTAGCTGGGACTACAGGCATGTGCCACCATGCCCAGCTAATTTTTGTATTTTTAGTAGAGACCTGGTTTCACCCTTGTTGGCCAGGCAGATCTACTCTTGACTCTGCCACAGCAAGGTGGCCTTCCTGAATGGGCTCCCTTGCCCTCCGGCTTCTGCCAGGTCAGATGAATGTGAGGCCCTGCCATAAGGCCAGAAGTTGGAGTAGTTATTCTGCCAGCTTTCTTCCTTGCCTGTGCGCACTTTACATTGGCTGTGCCCCTCTGTCAGGGACTGTGCCTCCTGTCCAACTGCTTTCTCTGTGTTTCCAGTAGCTGCCCCCTCCTTGTGCCTCTTCAGGCCTGAGGTTGATAATGCCTCATCCTAGGGTGCTGCCCCATCCCTTTTTGGACCCCTTAATCTTGCCCACACCTTTGCAAACAGTACCTTCACTGAACTCCTCAGCTACCTCCTAGGATCCTGTTGCTACACCTTGCTTGTAGAATCAGATTTATTTTCAGAGAAAAAGTAAAGTCTGCTACAAACTTCAAAGACAGAAATGGTTAAGATGCTGGGCAGCCAGTGGCAGCTGGACATTGTGGAAATAGTGACGCAGTCCTCGTGCTTTTGTGAAGCTTCACAGCCTGATGAGGCAGCAAGGCAGACTTCGCTGTCTCCCTTTAAAGGTGTGACATTAGAACTTAGACCTGTTGTCTTAACTGAGACTGCAGAACTATCTGGTTTTAGAAACAGGGCCAGCTCTTCCCTGAGCTCTGTGAAATTTGGAATTCCTTATGCATTTGAGGAACTTCAAACTCTATTTGGTGTCTCAAATTTTGCTTCCTTCCTCCTATAGCCTAGCTGTATTCTAACATGTAGCACACTGTGCCGACAAGTCTCTTTTTCTTAATGTTTGATGTACTGTAACCTAAGTTTGATGTACTATAACCTAAATTCAGTCTTCCTGTTGATTCCATAAATGTGTTTAGTGTGAATTCTTTGCTTTTATGCATTTGGGTTAGTTCCTGGGGAATGGAAGGAAAAGCACTTTGTTATGTTTTGTTTTTAATCTAGACAGTATGCCAGAAATCTGAAAGAAAAACAAATCACCTCAAGTTTCATGATCTAACAAATCAAGTTGTTGTCATTTTTGTGTCCTTTTTGGTCTTTATTCATATATAATTTTATATGATAAGACAATTTTTTAAAATTAATTACAGACTACTTGTAAGAACTGAGCAAGAGCCTGGTTCATTATTCTGCATTTGGATCAAAGGGCAAAGTATAAGTGTCAATTTAGTGTATGTACATGTTTCAGTTAGCTGAATTATTGGAGAAGGGTCTGGAAATTATCAGTTGGATACATATAGAATAATATTTTAGGAATATGATACAGCAAAACTAAAAATGTGATTGGCTCCTCAAAAGAATGTTCCATATGAAAAATGGTAATGTTTAGGACTGTTCCTGTCACTATTTATCTTCATTTCTCATGATGTTCGTTGGTCTTTAGCTTCTCTGGGGTGTAGTTATAAAGGTTTTCTCCCGTGTCATAATGATCATGAAAAGAGAATACAATAGCTATATGCATATAGTAGTTTTTCTTTCTTTTTACCTGTCCTTCCACTTGGGGGTGACAAGTTACCTGTCTAAGGAGTATTTGTGTTTTGGGACGAGCTGGTTAACCAAAATCAATCTCTGATTGGTGGGCCATATAGAACGATATTTTGACTTGGCAGCCCTGATAGAAAGTAAAACAATACAGAGCTGCCTGAGGGTGCGCTCTCCACTTTGACTCTGTCTCCAGTTTGGGAAGGCCTTGTACCTCCCAGGGCTCTGGAAAAGCAGAGCTCACTGCTTAAGGAACAGACTATGTTGACACGGCATATGAGCAATATTTGAAATCACTGAATATATACATGATAAGAGAATTTAACAAGTGTTTTGGCATTTTATGTGCTTTTATGTTATTTTCTGTCTTTTATATTATATATGCTTTCCTTTTTTTTTTTTTTTGAGACTGAGTCTTGCTCTGTCGCCAGGCTGGAGTGCAGTGACACAATCTCTGCTCACCGCAGCCTCGGCCTCCTTGGTTCAAGCAATTCTCCTGCCTCAGCCTCCCAAGTAGCCGGGACTCCAGGTGCACGCCACGACGCCCAGCTAATTTTTGTATTTTTAGTGGAGACAGGGTTTCACCATGTTTTCCAGGATGGTCTTGATCTCTTGACCTTGTGATCCACCCACCTCCAAAGTGCTGGGATTGCAGGCATGAGCCACCGCACCCGGCCATTATATAGGCTTTCATTGTGTTTTTCATGTTAACAATGTAAAATATTCTTACACTTAAGCTTATAAATTAAATGTGCTAAAGATTTCTTGCCTGGGCTGTTAGGATGCCTTTGGCTAACATCAGAAATGCAAAAGGAAGAACAAGGTTTGCAAAAGGGAGGGATTTTGTTTGGGTCATGTTTTATCTGTGCCTATATAACTTGTTCCTTCAGCCAGTTTGTGAGGTCCTTGAGGGCAGCTAATCTGATTTTTCTTTCCTCTTATCTCTGAGTGTCCATTGCTATGCAAACTCTAAATAATGGGGGGAAAGCTTAAGTGCAGACTTGAACTTGAAACAGGAGTTTCAGTGCCTGATGGTATTTTTGCACTGTTATCTCCATGTATTAATTAATGACAAAGGAAGAGTTAGAAGTTATGTATTTAGTTCATTCTCTTATGTTGCTTACTTCTGTTCTACAAATGTTTCTGTTATGTCTGAAGAAGGGGAATTCCTCAAAGAAAGAAATTAGCAAGTTCACTTTTTGAGGTCATTATTTTAGTCTATTAGTTCATTAGTTTGGGGTATTACATTGTAAAGTGATGTCATCTGTAACCTAGTGCTATTTAAAGATGCACTGAGCAGAGTAGCTATAATAAAAAATATCATCGCTTAAAAATCTCAGTAACAATCCAGAATTTGCCTGTTTATAAGACTTATTTGGGCACTCTGACTTTTAAAAGTTAGGAGATGTGACTTTTCTTGATTTTTGAATTTATTTTTACCATCAACTGCCAATAAATTTTCCTCCATCTATAGGTCTGAGGATATGGCTTAATGAGTAAAACTCACTGGGTAGTTGTTACCCATCACCATAATTTTTGTTGTAAGTAGTTTACTTCTGTGTATTCTCTCAGGTATCCCAAGTAGATACCATCTGTGAGTGCTTACTGGAGCATGAGGAGCAAGTCTTGAGGGATGCACCTATGGATTCCATTGAATGGGCTGAAGTGGTGATCAATGTGAACAATATTCTCAAGGTACAAAAATATAGTAAAGGCTTCAGCAAATCAAAGCCCAGGGCATGGATAGACAAGGAACTGGTTTCCATGTTCCTACTCTGTATTGCCGATAATGTATAAGGTTGTAGACATTTGTTAATCCCAAAAAAGTTAGAAAAATGTCATTTTATTATTAATCAGCTAATGAGTATTTTGAATGTTAGCCTGGTGCCTATTAATAAATTTCTATAATCTTGAGTTTCTATTTGGTAGAATAATAAACCTTTCATTTGGGAAGATGTGTTTGTATCTTTGCAATTTTTTAGTTGGTTTTTTTTCTGAGAGAAGGTCTCACTGTCACCCAAGCTGGAGTGCAGTGGCACCATCATAGCTCACTGTAACCTTGAACTCTGGGCTCACGACTTCCTCCTGCCTCAACCTCCAAGAGTGTTGGGATTACAGAACTGAGACACCATGCCTGATTGCAAACGTATTGTTAATGTAACTGTCTAAATATTTCTCATTTCTATTTTTTTAATTACTCAAAACCTTGCTACTTTTACTATTGACTAAAACGTTCCATTTAATTTTAGCTAGTGGACTTGTAGTAATGATTTTCCTACTTTGCCAAATAATTTTCCTACTATTATTTGCCAAAACTGAAGTTAAATTATGGAGTAAAACAAATTTCAAAAGCAGAAAGAACCAAAAAGTAATCATGCAGATCTGTGCTGACTTTTTTCTCTCATTTTCTTTTCTTTTCTTTTTTTTTTTTTTTTTGTGAGACATGGTCTCACTCCATTGCCCAGGCTGGGTTTATAGTGGCTTGATTATAGCTCACTGCAGCCTCCACCTCCTGGGCTCAAGCAGTCCTCCTGCCTCAGTCTCCCAAGTAGCTGGGACGGTAGGTGCACGCCACGATGCCCAGGTAATTTTAAAAATTTTTTGTACAGATGGGGTCTCACTATGTTGTCAGGCTAGGAGCAATCCTCCTACCTCAGCCTCCCAAAGCACTGGGATTACAGGTGTGAGCCAACATTCCTGGCCCCTGAGTATTTTTTCTTACTAATTTACTTTGCTGTCTTAAATTATCTTCAGAAATACTGTGATCCATCACCTTTTGCATGTGATAACACATTAACTTTTTTTCCAGGATATGCTGCAGGCTGCTAGTCATTATCGCCAAAATAGAAACTCTTTGTATAGAAGAGAAGAATCACTAGAAAAAGAACCTGAATATGTTCCATGGACGGGTAATATACTGATTTATTAACAGTTGTTCAAAATATATTTCTAATGACCCATCATTTTTAGAAGTTGTGTTATTCCCCTAGCGTAGGTTTGTAAGTGAAATGAAAAAGTGCCGTCTCCAAAATGAGCAGCTCTTGTCAAAATCACTTTATTCGTCCCTTGCTCTTATTTATCGATCTCTCTATAATTTATGTATTCAACTGGTACTTATGCATTTACTAGGTTTTAGTTCAAATAGTTATTCATAGAAGCAGTCCTGGCCCCGGAGGTATGGACTATATTTTATGTTGATTTAATACAAGAAAGTAAGTGGAGTAGCATTAAAGGAATTTAGAAGGAAGAAGAGTCATGTTTACCTGGCTTTGCTGAGGAAATCTCCTTGGAGAAGATGGGATTCAAGCAGGGCATTGACAGGTATCACCTGAATCCCTGTTCAATGTAATTTTCCAGCAGTGATGAAGAGGCATAATTTTTATGCTATTAGTCTTTCCTTTAGCCATCACTAGATCCCTTACTTTAACCATATTATTTTGTGTAATTTCACAGCAACAAGTGGTCCTGGTGGCATCCGAACGGTAATAATACGCCAGCATGAGATTGTCCTGAAGGTGGCTTATCCACAGGCAGACAGCAACCTCCGAAACATCGTGACCGAGCAGCTGGTAGCCCTGATCGATTGCTTCCTGGATGGTTATGTTTCTCAGCTTAAGTCTGTGGATAAATCCAGTAATCGGGAAAGATATGACAATCTGGAGATGGAATACCTACAGAAAAGATCAGATCTCTTATCTCCTCTTCGTAAGTTCATGATACTTGGCAAGAGTTTTAAATTTGCTGAATGGATGAAAGGGTTGAATAGTTAATTCAGTATATTCAGTGTGGTAGTGTTAATCCAACTGTAATAAAGAACTTAAAGCAAATATGCACAGCTTTCTGTGCTCATTTATTCAACTTTTTTTCCAGTACTATCTAGGTATAAGTACCATAGATGATACTGAAGACAATTAATAAATACATAAACAAACAACATGTGGAGACTACCCTTAAAGAGCTTAGCATCACAGACCTTTACGTGAATAACTGGATTGCAAAGTAGAGCCTGGTGAGGGCTGCTTGAGGGGTACAGATAAGATATTATGGCTGTTTGGCAAAGGACACATTATACTCCAGGCTAGGACTGGGAAGAGTTTGCTTTACTCTTACATGAAGGAAGAGAATAGCGTTTTGGGGAGGCAGTGATGAAACAAGGGTCTGAATTTGCATCTTTTTTTTTTGTTGAGACAGAGCGTCACTCTCTCGCCCAGGCTGTAGTGCAGTGGTATAATCTCAGCTCACTGCAACCTCCATCTCCCGGGTTCAAACAATTCTCCTGCCTCAGCCTCCCAGGTAGCTGGGATTACAGGCGTGTGCCACCACAACTGGCTAATTTTGTATTTTTGGTAGGGATGGGGTTTCACCATATTGGCCTGGCGGGACTCGAACTCCTGACCTCAGGTGATCCACCCGCCTCAGCCTCCCAAAGTGCTGGGATTACAGGTGTGAGCCACCGCACCTGGCCTGAATTTGCATCTTTAAGAAATTGATGTGAATTGTGAAACTAAGTGCCAGTAAGTGGGAAGGTTTCCATTCCATTAATGATTGTTGGTTTATAATAGGAATAAAGATAAAATTTCAAGTAACATTTTTTATTACAGATTTTAAGTTTTGCTAACAGGATTTTTTCCCATCTTTTCTCATTCCCACAGTTTCACTAGGCCAGTACCTGTGGGCTGCTTCTCTAGCAGAGAAATACTGTGACTTTGATATATTGGTACAAATGTGTGAGCAGACTGACAACCAGAGCCGACTCCAGCGCTACATGACCCAGTTTGCTGATCAGGTGATGAGTGTTGGGTGTGTGGCCACTGAGTCCTTTAGTTGCCTTTTCTTGAAATGGCTTTGCCATTTCAAATCTGTAATCAGGGCTTTTGGAATATGATACGATCTTTTTGTAGTTAACTTTGATGAGAAGATACTAATTTGTATGTCGCGTTTCTTTGTAAATTTTGTCCAGTAGCGAGATCACAGTTCACGACAGCCTCAACCTCCTGGGTCCAATCACTTCTCCCACCTCACCCCCTCCCACACCTCCTGCTTTCCAGTAGATGGGACCACAGGAGCTCGCCACCATGCCTGGCTAATTTTGTTCATTTTTCAGTAGAGACAAAGTCTCGCTATGTTGTCCAGGCTGGTCTCAAACTCCTGGGCTCAAGCGATCCTCCTGCTTCAGCCTCCCAAAGTGCTGGGATAACAGGCATGAGCCATCGCCTGACCACACAATTCTTTATATATAAATATTACTGAAAGATTCTTTGACCTTTGGAAAATATAACTTTCATTTCTGTTTATATATTTTCTAGTTATTATAAAAGTACTTAGGTACATGAATATTGGTAAAGTTCTTAAAAATTGTATAGAAGATACTCGGGAGCATAGAAGACTACTTTAAGAGAGCTTAGCTTTACAAATACACCTAACATTCTCATTTTCCTTGAGGGATATTATGCTTCCTGTTTAAAAAACAAAGTTCCCAGCCAGCCTCAGTGGCTCATGCTGTAATCCCAGCACTTTGAGAGGCCAAGGCGGTAGGATCACTTGAGGCCAGGAGTTTGAGGCCAGCCTGGGCAACATAGACCCTGCCTTTACAAAAAAAATTTTTTTAAAAAACATGCCACCACACGCCCATGGCCACACTTATTCAGGAGGCTAAGGTGGCAGGATCGTTTGAGCCCAGGAGGTCAAGGCCAGTGAGCCAAGATTGTGCCACTACACCACAGCTAGGTGACAGAGGAAGACCTATCTTTAAAAAAAAAAAAAATTTCCATTGTGACACTATCTTAAGTGAATTCAAAGTTGTTGCTTGAAGCCAGTCTATTCAGTCAGTTGATTACTATGAAAAGCTTATTTTTTATTACTGTAAAAGTGATATTGTATAAAATTTAGAAAACCACTATAAACACAAAAGATAAAAATCACTCAAAATGCCACCACCCAGAGAGAACCTTTTAAGCATTTGGTTTATATTTTCAGTCTTTCCACTCTATGTATTATAAACAAACATGTTTTGTCAACTGCTTTTTTCACTTGATACATTGCAAACATTTGTTCATGTCATTAAATATTCTACAGCAGCATTTTTAATGGCATTATAGTATTTCATTGACTGGGTATGACTTACTTCATCAAAGATCAGTTGTTGGGCTGGGCAAGGTGGCTCACGCCTGTAATCCCAGCACTTTGGGAGGCCGAGGTGGGCAGATCACCTGAGGTCAGGAGTTCGAGACCAGCCTGGCCAACATGGCAAAACCCCGTCTCTTCTAAAAATACAAAAATTAGCCAGTCATGGTGGCGTGTGCCTGTAATTCCATCTGTTCTGGAGGTTGAGGCAGGAGAATCCCTTGAACCCAAAAGGAGGAGGTTGCAGTGAGCCAAGATCGTGCCACTGCACTCCAGGCTGGGCAACAGAACAAGAATCCGTCTCAAAAAAAAAAAAAAGGTCAGTAGTTGGACATGGCTTATTTAGTATATCAAAACATTGCTAAATAAATATTTTTTGCACTGATCATGATTTTAAAATTATTTTTATGGATTTTCTTTCTCTTTTCATGCATTTTTGCATTTTTTCTTATATTTAACATGTTTAAATGTTATTTTAAAGTCCTTTTGTGCTTACTCTGATCATCTTTGAGTCTGTTTATGTTGCCTGCTTTTATGTTGCTTGAATCATAGTTTTCTGCTTCCTATATCTGGTAATTTTTAAATTGTATTTTAGACATTGTATATTTTTAAAACTCCATAGTATGGAAATTGATGTTATTTGTCCCCTCGTGGATTTTCCTTTTTCTCTGTTAGGCAATTTAGAGGAGAGGAAGATGACTCAGTTCATTAGGAATAGAGGTGGCCCAGGACTCGGTCTCAGCTCTTGTAATATTCATTTCATTTCTGGTGTCAGAAGTCTTTCATGGCAGGATCCCTGCTTTAGGGAAAGTATCTCTTAAACACTGTGAGACTGTAGAACGTCTTGGTCTTCCTCTCCAGCTCAGCCTCCACACCACCCCAACACTCCACAAACAGCCAGTGGGGAAAACTGGCTGGGCATTTGGGCCTCTCTAGATTTTGATGTATCATGCCAGGCCATGTGGCCAGCTGGCGCAGAATTCTGGAATGTTACAGTCTCGGTGCTGTCCCACAGAGCTTTCTGTGATAATGGAGCTGTTGATAATGCGCTGTCCAAATGGGAGCCACTGGCCACATGGGGCTACTGAGCACTTGAAATGTGGCTAATGTACCTAAGGAACTGAATTTTAAATTTCAAGCTAATTTTTTATTTAAGTTAAACAGCTACGTATGGCCAGTTGCTACCATATTGGCCAGCGCACATCTAGATTCTGCCATTAATCTTGTCAGTGATCTTGAGCAAGATGCCCTTTCTGAATCACAATGTACACATCTGTCAAATGAGATGATTGAATTAAGTGATCCTACAATATAGGAAATTATTGTTTAGAACAGGTTTTCTGTTTTGGAGGCCTTTAGAACAAAGTTATGTTTTGTTATCAGAAATGTGTTTTTTTAAACTATTATGAATGAATTCTATGTTCTGTTATTTGTAGAATTTTTCAGACTTTCTCTTCCGTTGGTATCTGGAGAAAGGAAAGCGAGGCAAATTATTATCTCAGCCCATTTCTCAGCATGGACAGTTGGCAAATTTTTTGCAAGCTCATGAACATCTCAGCTGGTTACATGAAATTAATAGCCAAGAATTAGAAAAGGTAAGAAGGATTTTTCTATGGAGCAGATGTGTGCAATTTATTTAGGTAGTTTTAATTAGTTTTGTTTTTAGTAATTAAAATACTGTTTACTGTCATATACCTGAGAAGGGGTTACTATCCAAAATATATAAGGGAGCTGGGCATGGTGGCTTATACCTGTAATCCCAGTACTTTGGGAGGCTGAGGCAGGTGGATCTCTTGAGTGCAGGAGTTCAAGACCAGCCTAGGAAACATAAATAACAAAAACATTAGCCAGGTGTGGTGACACACACCTGTAGTCCCAGCTACTTGAGAGGCTGAGGCAGGAGGATCACTTGAGCTCTGGAGGTTGAGGCTGCAGTGAGCTGAGATTGCACCATTGCACTCCAGCCTAGGCAACAGAGTGAGGCCTTGTCTCAAAATAAGTGAATGAATGAATGGCAAAAGACCTGAATAGACATTTCTCAAAAAAAGACATGCAGATGACCAATAGATGTGTGAAAAAAATGTTCTGCATCACTCATCATTAGGGAAATGCAAATTTATATCACAATGAGACATCACCGTACATTTGTTCGAATGGCTGTTACCAAAAAGGTGAAGGTAACAAGTGCTGGAGAAGACATGGAGAAAAGGGAACCCTGATGCACTCTTGGTGGGGATGTAAGTTAGTACAACCATTATGGGAAACTGTATGGAGGTTCCTGAAAAAGTTAAAAATAGAAATACCATATGATCTGGCAATCCCGCTTGTGAGTATATATCCAGAGGAGTTGAAGTCAGTATGTTGAAAAGGTACCTGCACTCCCATGTTCATTGCAGCATTTTCACAGTAGCCAAGTTATGGAATCCACCTAAGTGTCCATCAATCAGTGTAAATGATAAAGAAGATGTTGTATATAGAATACACAATGCAGTAATAGCCTTAAGAAAGAAGGAAATTCTCTCATTTGCAACAGCATTGATGAAGCTGGAGAACATTACACTAAACCAAATAAGCCAGACACAGACAAATAACTCATATGTGGAATCCAAAACAATTGAACTCATGGAAGCAGAAGAATGGTGGCTGTCAGAAGGGTGAGGGGATGTTATACGCACACACACACAGGTACACACATACACATATACATATATACATACATATAAGGAACTCAGCTCAATTGCAAGAAGACAAATAACCCAATTTAAAAGGGGAGATGGGCCGGAGAAGTTGGTCAAAGGGTACAAGTTTCAGTTAGAAGGAAGAAGATTATTTTTATTTTTGTTTTTTTAGAGACAGGGTCTCACTGTGTTGCCCAGGCTGGTCTTGAATTCCTGGGCTCAAGCAATCCACCCACATCAGCCTCCCAACGTTCTGGGATTACGGGCATGAGCCACTGCACCCAGCCAGGAACATTTTTTATATACATTGCACAATATGATGGCTAAAGTTAATAATAGTGTATTGTACATTTTAGAATTTCCAAGAGAACAAATTTGAAATGTTCTCACCACAGTGATAGGTATTTGAGGTGATGGGCATGTTAATTAGCTTGATTTAATCATTCCACATCACATACATATATTATTACTGTGTATCCATAAATATATACAATTATAATTCATTAGTATACAATAATTTTTTTAAATTTAAAAGCATTTCTTATGGATTATTTAGAATGTGTACTCCTATTTTCCCACATAATTTGCATAAAACATTCTTAATTTGTGATGGTATTGCCATTCTAATATCTCAATAAAAATATGTAGTCCAGGCTGGGTGCCTGTGGCTCATGCCTGTAATCCCAGCTACTCAGGAGCCTGAGGCAGGAGAATCACTTGAACCCGGGAGGCGAAGGTTGAGTGAGCTGAGACTATATCATTGCACTCCAGCCTGGGTGACAAAGTGAGGCTCTCTCAAAAAAAAAAAAAAAAAAATGTAGTCCATCATGATTTGACATCACATTAAAATCACAAAAATTTTAATGATGTGTCTGTAACAGTCATTGGCCTTTTTGCAATGAGTATATTGTTGTAATATTCAAATTATGAGTAAAAACATACAAATTAATTTTAAAATTTGTTCTTGACAGGATGTTCAGGTGAATATGTAAGTTTTAGAGCAAATGTTTTGTGCATGTCTCTTTTCCCAATATTTAGTGAGGATGGTTGATATTTTGCTGTGTAATTACTCTCAATGTTACGTACTGCTCAGTTTTTAGGTTTGCTAACTGTTGACTTCTCATTCATTGATACGGCTTAGGGGAGAAAAACAAGTTTGGGGTTTACTTACCTTTGTTTCAGCTTGAATTGGTACTCAGTATCTTACGATGGTTTGCATATTTTATTGTAGGCTCATGCAACACTTCTGGGTTTGGCAAATATGGAAACTCGTTACTTTGCAAAGAAGAAAACCCTTCTTGGCTTGAGTAAATTGGCTGCATTAGCTTCAGACTTTTCAGAGGATATGCTACAAGAAAAAATTGAAGGTGAAAGAATTTGAGCAAAAGGATTTACAAATTGGTCATGCCATCAATTAACTCATGATGTGTTCCTGTCATCAGTTAGCAGGATCTATCTCTTAGAAACAGGACCTGTCTCTAAGAGGAATGCATTTAGTTAATGTCCATGTGTAGTTACTCAATTATATACTTGGAATTTTTTTAGAGAAAAGTAGTTTGTATTTTAAATAAGAATTCCTAAAGAATAGACTCAAATGATTTTGATTGGAGAGGTCTGATTATGTACCTTTAGTGATAAATATTCCAAGGGCAAAAAGAACTACAAAGCAATCTTGACCTTTACACAGTGGGTTTGTTGTAGGTAGTGTGGTATAGGTGCAATAATTCTGAACTATTTTGTGTATATTGTAGATGAAAACGATTACATATAGTACAGTTGGCCCTTCATATTCTTGGATTCCACATCTGCAGATTCGACCAAACATCAAAAATATTTGGGGAAAAAAGAATTAAAAATATTCAACAACAATTAAAATTACAACAAGAGAATTAACAAAAAAATTAAAACAACAAAAATAATGCAAAATTAAAACAAAATAATGCAAATTTTAAAAAACCAATACAGTATAACAGCTATTTACTTAGCATTTACGTTGTATGAGGTATTATAATCTAGAGGTGATTTAAGGTATATGGGAGGATGTATGTGGGTTATGTGCAAGTAACTACCGTTTTTATATAAGGGAGTTGAGCTTTTTGGTATTCCTATGGGTCCTAGAACCAGTTGTCAGCAGATACTGAGGCATGATGCTATTATTTTTTAGAACCAAGGAGAGAGGAGTACAAATATAGAAAGACAGTGAAGAAAAACTCTGTATTATTGAATTTGAATTGGAAATACCAGATAGAATCTGATTTTTAAAAACAATATATTTTCTTGCTTGAGGTGATGGGTATGCTAATTACCCTGTGATCATTACACAACATATACATGTATTGAAGCATCACATTGTACCCCATAAATATGTATAATTATTATGCGTCAATTAAAAAAATACATCAGCTGGGTTTGGTGGCTCACGCCTGTAATCCCAGCACTTTGGGAGGCTGACGTGGGAGGATTGCTTGAGCCCAGGAGATTGTGCCAGCCTAGGCAACTTAGTAACAACCTGTCTCTACAAAAAATTTAAAACTTAGCCAGGTGTGGTGGTGTGCGCCTGTAGTCCCAGCTACTGGGGAGGCTGAGGTGAGAGGATCACTTGAGCCCAGGAGGTTGAGGTGGCAGTGAGATGTGATTGTGCCACTGCCCTCCAGCTGGGGCAACAGAGCAAAACTCTGCCTCAGAAAAAAAAAAAAAAAGTCTCTCTCTATATATATGTAGATAGATAGATATACATAATAAAATGTGTGTGTGTATATATAAAATTGTGTGTATATATATATACACAATACACATATATATACATTTTATCTATACACACACACACATACGTATTTCTTGTCTCTGCAGTGACACCCCAGTAGCATGAGTATACCTAGTTCCATATGTTGGTTTCTGACTACCGTTTTCCAGTAAAAGAAGTGAGGGCTTATTGAAGAAATCTTGGAGAGTCTTATTGGGCCAGAAAGCAAGGTTAATGTAGAGATACTAAAATAATACAAGAGCCTTGAACAGCTCCCACTGTTCAAGTTTGGGGACTATTTGAACATCAAAAGATTGGTAGTAAAGGGTATATTCCACAGTTTATAAGACAAAAAAATTCATGAGTCTACAGTGATTTTCAAAAAGGGAGAGGGTCAGTGAAATGCTTCTTTACAGGAGAATGCCAACTAATAAATGTGAAAACAATGGCAGAAGTCACTATTACAACCACGGTGAATAACTGGTCACCAGAGGATGCTGAGACCATTGAGTTTAGGGGCTAGGGGAACAGGATATTCCCGTGGTTTTGGAGTATCAGTAGACAAATCTAATAGACCCTGTCATCAACCACAAAACAAACCACATTGTGTACCACTCCTGAAGCAATGTACTACCATCACGTGTGTCCTGTTCTTGCCAAAATGTTCACCCTTATTCTAATTACAAGAGAACAATCAGACATAACCTGCTGGTGGGACATTGTATAATACAGTTGCCCTAGACTCTTCAAAAACTTTACCAACATGAAAGACAAAAGACAGGCTGTTTTAGATGAAAGGAACCTAAGAGCCATGACACAGAAGCAAATGCAGAGCGAGATTCTTGATCCTGAATCACCCTCAAAATAACCGTAACAGTTATGGTGAATGTTTTGGAAACAAGTGGGAGAAAGTTTGAACATACTTAGTATTAGATGATATAACTGTATTGATGTTAAATTATATAAGCCTGATAATCGTATTGTGGTTGAATGTCCTTGTTTTTAGGAGATACATGCTGAGTATTTAGAAATGAAATGTCATGATGTCTGCAACCTTCATATGCTGAAAAAAAATTACCTATATACATAGAGAAAGCAAAAGGGACAGAGTGTTAGCAACAGATGACTCTAGCTGGAGGATATAACGTGCACATTGGCATTTTAAAATTTTTTCTGTAGATTTGGACTTTTTCTGTTTTTTATTTTTATTTATTTATTTTCTCTGAGACAGGGTCTCACTCTGTTGCCCAGGCTGGAGCACAGTGGCACAATCATGGCTCACTGCAGCCTCGGACTCCTAGACTCAGGTGATGCTCTTGCTTCAGCCTCCCCAGTAGCTGGGACTACAGGTGCATGCTCCCATGCCCGGCTAATTTTTGTATTTTTTTGTAGAGATGGGGTTTCACCATGTGTACCCAGGCTGGTCTCAAAACTTCTGGGCTCAAGCAGTGTGCCCACCTCGGCCTCCAAAGTGCTGGGATTATAGACATGAGCCACCACACCCAGCCTGGAATTTTTCAAAATAAAAATTGGAGCGGGGAATCTCAGCTATGTGGTTTGGATCAAGTATATGCAGATATGGATATCTGGTTATGTGGCTTATCCACAGAGTCCAGCCTAAGATCTGGGTTTAAATTATACTGCTGTCATTTTTTTCCTTTTGAGGGAGTGGATATAGTAGAAAGAATTGGGATTTCAATATTTTCTCCAGAACTTACTAGCTTTGTGACCTTGGATAGTTAATTTATGCTCCTTCGCCTCAGTTTGTTCATCTATAACAAGGGTAGTTGTAAGGATTGAGGACACTGTCTTGGGAAAAATGGCTTGCATATATTAAGTACTCAATAAATTATAGGTATTAGCCCCTTTTATTAAAATTATTTTTTACTGTTTGGGATAATCTTCCTTCAATCTTTTTATTTTTTGCACTAGTAGCGCCTGTTCTAAAAAAAGTGTGTTTATATTCTATAGGACTGGCTGATAGTCTAAGAGGGGAAGCCATATTTTAGCCTGGCCACCAGAGGTAGATCATGTTAATCAAAGCATTTTAACCAAGGCTTTCCTGTTTCTTCTTTCTCCCTGCTTTGCATTTGATCACTTCTTAGCTTTTATTTCTTAACGCGATGGGAACATTTGCAGGTCTCAGTGATTCTACAGACTGTTAGCACAATGTGTCTAATCGGAGGGGATAGACTTTTTAAAAATAACTCTTCTGGTAGTTAAATAATTCCTCATGGAAAATGTGTAAATTATAGAAAAAATTCAATAGGAAAAATAAGTTGTCTGTAGTCCTACCTCCCCGGAGATAGCCACTGGTACTGTTTTGTGGGTTTCCTCCCAGTCTGATTTTCTAGGTACAGAAATGGACAAAAGTGTTCCATTTAATTTTTCCAAAACCAGGATCACGGGGAATGCTGCCAGTATTTGAGCGAAAGTATCTGTGTTTTGGTCACTGTTTTGCTGTGAATGCTGTGTTTATGAGGCTGCCTAGCAGTTTTCACCCTTTCCTGCAACTCAGCACATTCCCTGGGGCGGAGTCAGGTCATGGGCTGCAACCTGGAGAGTTTATGGCAAACAGAAGCCCCTGTTACCTCATCCAATGGAGATAACCCTTGCTGCCTAGGAGATGTGCTGTATATTCTTCCAGGTCTTGTTTTTCTTGATAGACTCATGGTAGCTTTTACATCATTTCCATTTGCGAATGAAACTCAGTTGACCCTTGAACAACATGAGCTTGAACTGCATGGGTCCACTTACATGCAGATTATTTTCAATCAATATATTTCGGAGATTTTCAACAACATGAAAACACTCATAGATATACACCATGTATAACTGTGTAGCCTAGATATACCAAAAAAAAATTAAGAAAAAGACAGGTTATGAATACATAAAACATATGTAGTCTATTTTATCATTTACTACCATAGAACATACACAGGTCTGTTATAAAAAGTTAAAATTTATCAACACACAAACACAGACCTCACATAGCACCATTCACAGTGGAGGCAAATGTAAACAATGTAAATAGGCAGCATTAAATCACAGAATTAACTAATACATACTGTACTTACTGTAATAATTTCATAGCCACCTCCTATTGCTATTGTGGGCAAGTGTCCGCTTGCTGAAGTGTTAACAGTATTCAATTAAAACCCCAATTAAAGTGATGATCCAGTTAAAATGATTCTGATCATCTCTGTTTGAGAAGTTTGTCTACACCCCAGTAAATTGCCTATTGCAGCAAAAAGTAAATTTCCTATTGCAGTAAGAAGTGATTTCTCATAGTTCTCGAGTATTTTTTCCTGTGTTTAATGCAATACCATAAACCTTAAATAACACCTTGAGACTCATATGAAGTGCCACTAGGTGATGCTAGACATGCTCCCAAGAAGCCTAGGAAAGTCGTGACATTACAAGAAGTGGAATTGCTTGATATGCACCACAGACTGAGGTCTGCAGTTTTGGCTATCCCCATTTCAATATAAATTAGTCTAGCTTAATGACCATTATTTTTTAAAAAATGGAAATTTGTGAAGCTGGCAGCAGCAGTTAAGCTTTTGGGGAGTCGAAAGTTACCCTCCCAACACTTTGGGAGGCTAGAACAGGAGGATCACTCAAGCCCAAGAGTTTGAGACCAGCCTGGGCAGCATAGCAAGACCCCATCTCTTTAAAAAGTTATGCTGGGATTTTTGACAGCACGGGAGCTTAGTGGCCCATCCCCCTTGTTATTCAAGGGCCAACTATATACTATAAATTCTAGTGGGAAAAATTTTACTGAATTATAAAATATGATGGAGAGATCTCCACACTTAGGAAGCTTATACCTCATGAAATAGCTATCTGCTCTCCAACTTCTTCAAGCATTGAACGTATTTCCTTACTTGTTCTCTTCCCTCCTATTTCTCGTTGCTGTGATAATTCTTAGGACTTTGATCAAACCATGGATATGTTGTAAACATAACCGGCAATCAAGAATAAGAATTAAAAGCATTCTGAGATCATTGAATAAAGATAGGTTTACCTCTGGAGCTATTTTTTTCTTTTAAAATTCAGATTTGTTTTATGACAGCAAAAATGAGAGCAAAAGTCAAATTTCATCATATTCTCTTTCCCTCCCTCTCATCTTGAATACTAGAAATGGCTGAGCAGGAGCGCTTTCTACTGCATCAGGAGACCCTACCTGAACAGCTGCTGGCGGAGAAACAGCTAAATCTCAGTGCGATGCCAGTATTGACTGCACCACAACTCATTGGTGTATGTGCTTTTCAAATCCTTAACGCTATTTCTTAAACTCAAAACCTTTTTGGTGTTTGTTGGGCCATGTAGTATAGTTCCTAAGAGGAGTTATTGTTCTACTGCCTACCTTCCAGAAAACTCCCCTAGAAAAACGTTGTTTGAAGCTGTTTGGGAACAGAAAGCTAATTAGAGAAAAATTAATCAGCATCTGCCTCCCCATACACCTCCACCTAAAGGTGCTTTATCTAGGTGACCAGGAGAAATTACTTATATTTTGCTTTTCTAGTATAGGACAAATAAGTACCATGAGATAACTTTATTTCCCCCACAAAATTACTTTTCAAGCTCTTCTATAAGAAAAAATGGATTAAGGAACTCAGTTTACATGGTCTAGCAGTTCTGTCCTTACCCCTTTCCTCTGCAACCCAACACATCCCCGAGGGCAGAGCCAGAATACGGACTGCAGTCTAGAGAAGAAGCATCTCTTTGCCAGAGTGATGTAGGATCACCTTAAATGTGTTCTATCTATATGAAAAGGCAAACAATTAAAATACATTAGCATTTTAGCCATTATTAGTAACAGATTTCCTGTTATAACTGAATTTACAACAGCCTCTCCTGATAGAATATATATTTAATTTGGAAATGGAAGTTACTCTCTATTGTAACTCACTATTGAGTATCACTAAGAAAAAAGTAGTGCCGATTTTACTCTAATGCATTATTAATTTTAATACCACAGTCCAATTTCAGAGATGGTGGAGTAAAAAGGATGTTCAAGAACAACAAAATAAAACTATTATCTTTTGAGTGCTGTAAGACAATGAACACAAGCAGATAGCTTTTTTTCTGAAATGGTCTGAGTATTGTTGCTATTAAAGGATTACACATACAATTTTTAAAAAATGAAATTATAGTTTTTGGGAAAGGAAGATGGGAAAAATTCAAATTGATATTTTTAATAAGGCAAGTATTTTTCTGACCATAAAAATTACAGGAAATTTGAAGAATACAGAAATGAGTATGCAGTCAGCTGTAATCTAACCAGGGATAAGTGTTGGTAACATGTTGATGTGTTTTTTTATTAAGTGAATATAGATCAACTGTACACTTTATTGTAGGTCTCAATTTTTTTTTAGAGACAAGATCTTGGTATTGCTCGGGCTGTCAGGCTGGAGTGCAGTGGCCCTGTCACAGCTCACTGCAGCCTTGACCTCCCAAGCTCAGGTGACCCTCCTACCTCAGCCTCTGGAGTAGCTGGGACCACAGGTGTGCACCACTGTACCCAGCTAATTTTTATACTTTTTGTAGAGACGAGGTTTCTCCATGTTGCCCAGGCTGGTCTCGAACTCCTGTTCTCAAGGAATCTGCCTGCCTCGGCCTCCCAAAGAGCTGGGATTATAGACATGAGCCACTGTGCCGTGCCTAAAATATGCATTTTTTAAAAAGACAGTTTATTTTAAGGTGGATGCAATACAGTTTCCAAATATGAGACTGTTTTTACTATAAAAATACAACTGGCCAGGTGCAGTGGCTCACGCCTAAAATCCCAGCTCTTTGGATGGCCAAGGCAGGCGGATCACTTGAAGTCAGGAGTTTGAGACCAGCCTGGCCAACAGGGTGAAATCTTCTCTACTAAAAATACAAAAATTAGCCAGGTGTGGTGATGGATTCCTGTAATCCCAGCTACTCAGGAGGCTGAGGCAGGAGAATCACTTGAACCTGGGAGGCAGAAGTTTCAGTGAGCTGAGATCGTGCCACTGCAATCCAGCCTGGGTGACAGAGCAAGACTTTGTCTCAAAAAAAACAAACAAACAAACAAACAAAAAACAAACTACAACTTCCTTACAAGACATAATGACTTCTTTTCTCCATAAATGTCTCTAGTATTAGTTACATGATTGTATAATCTTCTACCTTATTTTAACTTGTCATAGCTATATATCTGTGAAGAAAATAGAAGAGCTAATGAATATGATTTCAAGAAAGCTTTGGACTTGTTGGAATATATTGATGAGGTAAGTAAAATTGCTTGAGATGATCTCAGGCAACTGAATACATATATAAAAAGAGGGAGATCCCTCTTTTAGTCAATCATGAAAATGAATTAAGCAAAAAAGACTGTATCTGTGGTTCAACTACCTTTAATCCTTAGAATGTAAACAACTCTTCAGAAAAGCTGTCAAGGTCAAGAGACTCCCTTTTGTGATAATTCTCACACATTCCTGGGTATCTTTTTTTGTGCACAGATAAATACTGCTTTTCAAAGTCCTGAAATATTTTTTTGTCTTTCATTTATTAAGTCATTAGTTTCTGAAGGTAATATACGACTTTATCAGTTTATTCTGGCTGGGTGCAGTGGCTCACGCCTGTAATCCCAGCACTTTGGGAGGCCGAGGCAGACAGATCACCTGAGGTTGGGAGTTTGAGGCCAGCCTGGCAAACATGGTGAAACTCCACCTCTACTAAAAATACAAAAAAATACAAAAAAAAAAAAATTAGATGGGTATGGTGGCGCACGCCTGTAATCCCAGCTACTTGGGAGGCTGAGGCATGAGTCTCTTGAATCCAGGAGGCAGAGGTTGCAGTGAGCCAAGATCATGCCACTGAACTCAAGCCTGGGCGACAGAGTGAGACTGTCTCAAAAAAAAAAAAAAAAAAAAAAAAAATATATATATATATATATATATAAAATCTTCATAGTATTCATCCTAAGAGTAGCTGTTTCTTGTGTTTCAACAGGTTATAGTGAAAATTCTGTAGGATAAGTAGTTCTATTACCTGTCGATGCAATTGAAAGTAATTTGGTAGATTTTAGAAACATAATATGTTGACTTTTACATTACCTTATTTTAAAATCTTACCCCTCTCAGGCCGGGCGAGGTGGCTTACACCTGTAATCCTAGCACTTTGGGAGACCAAGGTGGGCGGATTGCCTGAGGTCAGAAGTTCGAGACCAGTCTGGCCAACATGCTGAAACCCTGTCTCTACTAAAAATACAAAAAAAATTAGCTGGGCGTGGTGGTGTGTGCCTATAATCCCAGCTACTTGGGAGGCTGAGGTAGGGGAATTGCTTGAACTAGGGAGGCAGAGGTTGCCATGAGCTGAGATCGCGCCACTGCACTCCAGCTTGGGCGACAGAGCGAGACTCCGTCTCAAAAAAAAAAAAAAAGAAAAACTCTTACCCCTCTCAAGGTTGCTGATAAAATCATCATCACCACAGAGTAACCTGAAAGTAATTCATAGATATTAATTGGCTTCTATGTATGTAGTATTAACATAATGAAAATTTAGGCATGTATTTCTTTCAGAGCCAGGATTTAATCAGGATTTTTTTTGTTTTGCTGTGAAGGAAGAAGATATAAATATAAATGATCTAAAACTGGAAATCCTTTGCAAAGCTCTTCAGAGAGATAAGTAAGTGCTCGTGGCATTGCTTCTTTGGAAAGTATAGAAACTGCTTTTCCTCTGCTCTCACCACATGACAGTCAATAACAGAAGACTTCTGTGACCAGACGTGTTGGGATTTCCCACCTCCTACACTGGGCAACCAGTGAGTTCTGTTGGTGGGCACCAGCTGAATGTCCTTTAATTTAGTTCAGTCCTGATACAATCTACAACCACAGGTTGAGGGCTCAGACTGCCCCTGACTTTGATGCCAATTTAAGCACCAGGGGGTTTTGCCTGTGTTCCTCACCGACCAGCTATAAATTGGGGTTCCCACAACCCCCTCCTTGGGTTTGATTAATTTGCTAGAGCAGCTCATAGAACTCAGGAAAACACACCTACCAATTTATTATAAAGGGTGTTGTTACCAGAGAGCGGTCCCGATGACCCCAGGAGAGGCTTCTTGGATCTCGTGCAAGAAACAATTTGGGGCAAGTCCACAGAGTAAAGTGAAAGCAAATTTATTAGAGAAGAAAATAAAAGAATGGCTACTTCTTACACAGAGCAGCGGCGTGGGCTGCTTGACTTGAGTATACTTATGGTTATTTGTTGATTATGTGCTAAACAAGGGGTGCATTATTCATGAGTTTTTCTGGAAAGGCATGAGACGTTCCCAGAACTGAGGGTTCCTCCCCTTTTTATTTTTATTTTTTTATTTTTTTATTTTGAGACAGAGTTTAGCTCTTGTTGCCCAGCCTGGAGTGCAGTGGTGCGATCTTGACTCACTGCAACCTCTGCCTCCCGGGTTCAAGCAATTCTCCTGCCTCAGCCTCCCAAGTAAATGGGATTACAGGCATGTACCACCAGCCCTGGCTAATTTTGTATTTTTAGTAGAGATAGGGTTTCACCATGTTTGTCAGGCTGCTGTGGAACGCCAGACCTCAGGTGATCTGCCCACCTCAGCCTCCCAAAATGCTGGGATTACAGGCGTGAGCCACCACGCCCGGCTCCTCCCGTTTTTAGACTATATAAGGTAACTTCCCAACGTTGGTTGCCACAGTCTTTGTAAACTATTGTGGTGCTGGTGGGAGTGTCTTTTAGCATGCTAATGCTTTGTAATTAGTGTATAATGAGCAGCGAGGACGACTAGAGACCACTCTCTTGGTTTTGGCGGGTTTTGGCGGGTTTTGGCTGGCTTCTTTACCACATCCTGTCTTATCAGTGGGGTCACTGTGACCTGTGTCTTGTGATACCAGTCCTGCTGACCTCCTGTCTCATCCTGTGACTAAGAATTCCTAACCTCCTGGGAATGCTGATTCTAACGCATCTGAAAGTATCACATAGAATACAGATGAGGAGATCATGGGGTGAGGTATAGGGGAAGGGGCTTGGAACTTCCAAAGCCTCTCTGGCCCTCCACCTTCCAGGAACCTCCACGTGTCAGCTATCAGGAAGCTCTTCAAACCCTGTCGTTTTGTGTTTTTATGGAAGCTTCGTTATGTAGACATGATTGATTAAAGTTGGTGACCAATTTAACCTTCAGCCCCTCTTCCCTCCCTGGATATTGAGGAACAGGGCTGAAAAGTCCCAACTCTAATTATGCTTTTTCTGGTGACCAGCCCCTATCCTGAAGCTAGCTGGGGGCTGCCAGCTGTCAGCCAACTCAATAGTATTAAAAAAAAAAAAAGACATCTATGGAGATCCTAAGGATTTTAGGAGTTGCAAAGCAGGAAGTGGGGTGAAGAAGAAGACCAAATACATATTTCACAGTATTACAGGAAGATTATGATATTATATGTCAAATGGTTTTATAACCTTCTAACCATATTGTAACATACATATTATGAAAATTTTAATGGTTACATTAGTAATATTTATTTAGTCTTGGTCTTCTCTATTTTAATAGTTAAGAATAGCAAGAATAGCCTAAAGACTTAGGACCACTCATATAATAAATCACTACTTTTGATTTTAAAATTTAGGTTGTCAGTTTGCATAGAAATACACATCCCTTATTTTCTTTCTTTTTTTGTGATGGAGTTTCACTCTTGTTGCCCAGGCTGGAGTGCAATGGCACAGTCTCGGCTCACCACAACCTCCGCCTCCCGGATTCAAGTGATTCTCCTGCTTCAACCTCCCGAGTAGCTGGGATTGCAGGCGTGTACCACCACGCCTGGCTAATTTTGTATTTTTAGTAGAGACAGGGTTTCTTCATGTTGGTCAGGCTGGTCTCGAACTCCTGACCTTGTGATCTGCCTGCCTCGGCCTCCCAAAGTGCTAGGATTACAGACGTGAGCCACCATGCCCGGCCACATCCCTTATTTTTGCAGAAGTGAGGCTTGTCATGCCAAACGAGACTCGAAGCTATGATTTTGTTTTATTTATTTATTTTTATTTTTTATTAAAAAAAAATTTTTTTTTTGAGATGGAGTCTGGCTGTGTTGCCCAGGCTGGAGTGCAGTGGCACAATCTTGGCTCACTGCAAGCTCCACCTCTCGGGTTCATGCCATTCTCCCGCCTCAGCCTCCCGATTAGTTGGGACTACAGGTGCCTGCCACCACACCCAGCTAATTTTTTTTAATGTATTTTTAGTAGAGATGGGGTTTCACTTTGTTAGCCAGGATGTTCTCGATCTTCTGGCCTATTTTGTTTTTTAAGTTACTACAATTTGAGGGTCAGTGCCCTTTTCTAAGGCATTAAGTACTACTTTCTCTTTTTTTTGTTTGTTCGTTTTGTTTTTTGTTTTTGAGACAGAGCCTCACTCTGTCACCTAGGCTGGAGTGCAGTGGCTCAATCTCGGCTCGCCGCAACCTCCGCCTCCCAAGTTCAAGCGATTCTCCTACCTCAGTCTCCCAAGTAGCTGGGATTACAGGCATGCGCCACCACGCCCAGCTAATTTTTTTGTATTTTTAGTAGAGACCGGGTTTCTCCATGTTGGTCAGGCTGGTCTCAAACTCCCAACCTCAGGTGATCTGTCTGCCTCGGCCTCCCAAAGTGCTGGGATTACAGACATGAGCCACCGCGCCTGGCAAGTACTACTTTCTCACAATCATATCCTTTCTGCAGAGGAGGACTTCCACCTATGGAAATGGTGTTTATGTTACGATTCAATGACAAAGACTAAGAATAATCAGTTGAAGGAACAAATTCTTTCCAGGAAAAGAATTTTAAACAAAGCATGAATTGACTGCTAAAAGCCTTCTCCTACTCACAATTTTCCTTTTTCCTGTGGTAAAATATTATAGAAGAGCTATTTTTACTAAAGCATTTCTTCCCTCCTCTGATCATTCCAAAATAGTTAAAATTGCTGTTAAGTTTAGTCTTAGAGGTCAGTCCCTGAAGCTTCTAGCTTTCTGCCTACTTGATTGTTTGGTCCCATCCCAGTCATACAAAAGGATGCTATCATTTTGATTAGAATTCCTTGTCTTAGTTTCTTGTTTAAAAATTTTAAAGTTATCATGTCCATTGATTACAGAGCAGTGGTTTGGTATTTTTATTTTAGTAGTAGATAGTCACAACTACATAAAGAAAGCTTCTGGCTGGGTCCAGTGGCTCATGCCTGCAATCCCAGCACTTTGGGAGGCCAAGACAGGAGGATTGCTGGACCCCAGGAGTTCAAGACCAGCCTGGGAACATAGCGAGACTTTGTCTCTACACAAAAGTAAAAAATTAGCCAGGCACAAAGTGGTTGCATGCCTATGGTCCTAGCTACTCGGGAGGCTGAGGTGGGAGGAACACTTGAGCTGGAGGAGTTCGAAGCTGCAGTGAGTCATACTTTGGGGTCCATACTGAATATGTTACTTACTAATAGAATTTTCTTCAGAAAGATACCTCACTACTTGGTTTCTGAAATCAAATAGGTAAGAGTTATATTGAGTCAGTAGCTACCTTGAGTATAACATCTTTTTTTAAATGTGTTTTCCTTGGCGTCTCTTGCATGTTCCCTAGAGTGTAATGTCTTATATCTAATGTAGAAACTGTCAGGGTATTCAGCATGTAAAGTGCCTTTATTTAAATGATTTGAAACAGTATCACAAAACTCAGATTCTCCATCCCCCACAGCCATCAAAATAAAACCATGATAGCAAACAAATCATTTAATTCAGCTATATCAGTGATTTCATTTTTCCCTCATAATGATTTTGTTTTCTAGCTGGTCCAGTTCTGATGGCAAAGATGATCCAATTGAAGTATCTAAAGACAGTATATTTGTGAAGATCTTACAGAAACTTTTAAAAGATGGTAAGTGGTTTGTTACTATACCGTTGGAAATTACAGTGTCATTCCTCAGTTTTTTGGGTTTTTTTTTGAGACGGAGTCTTGCTCTGTCACTCAGGCTGGAGTGCAGTGGTATGATCTCGGCTCAGTGCAGCCTCCACCTCCCGGGTTCAAGCAATTCTTCTGCCTCAGCCCCTGGAGTAGCTGGAACTACAGACCTGTGCTACCATGCCTGGCTAATTTTTGTATTTTTAGTAAAAGCAGGGTTTCACCATATTGGCCAGGCTGGTCTCGAACTCCTGACCTCATGATCCACCTGCCTTGGCCTCTGTCTAAAGAAAAAAAAAAAAGAACCAAGAAGCTTTCATTTGGAGTCTGTCCACACTGATCTCCAAGCATTAGTATTCAGATTTGTAGCTTCCTTTCATAGCTGTAAAAATGCCACAGACTGAATTGTGTCTAATTAAGTATCTAGCACTAATATTTAAGGGCAGCTTTGCAGTTTTTGTTATTCTTAGTGGATTATAAAACAGGTGAAAAACAGGAATGGAAAGTCATAATTTCATAAAGGACAAGAACAGTGGAAACTTTTTTTTTTCTTTTTTTTGAGACGGAGTCTCATTCTGTTGCCCAGGCTGGAGTGCAGTGGCTCAATCTCAGCTTACTACAACCTCCACCTCCTGGGTTCAAGTGATTCTCCTGCCTCAGCCTCCTGAGTAGCTGGGATTACAGGCACGCACCACCATGTCTGGCTAATTTTTGTATTTTTAGTAGAGACAGGGTTTCACCATGTTGGTCAGGCTGGCCTCGAACTCCTGACCTCGTGATCTGCCCGCCTCAGCCTCCCAAATTGCTGGGATTACAGGCATGAGCCACCACGCCCAGCTGAAACTTTTATTTAAATAAAAATATAGGCAGGTGCAGTGGCTCACACTTTGGGAGGCCAAGGTGGGAGAATCACTTGAGCCCAGTAGTTCAAGACCAGCTGGAGCAACATAGGGAGATCCTGTCCCTATTTTAAAAAAAAAAAAAAAAAAAAAAAAGAGTTGAGCACAGGGGTGCATGCCTGTGTTTCCAGCTACTGGGGAGGCTGAGGTAGGAGGATTGCTTGAGCCCAGGAGGTGAAGGCTGCAGTGAGTTCTGATGGTGCCACTGCACTTCAGCCTGGGTGACAGAGCGAGACTCCGTCTCAAAAAAAAAAAAAAAAAAAAAAATTATATATGTGTGTGTATTATATATGTATATTTTACATATATAAGGCGTGCGGTTTTTTAATAACAGGACAAATGTACTTTTGGAACCTTCTTAATATGGCTTTCATGTACAATAGTGTTTTTAAAGGACAGATTCTGAAGGTAGGGAGATACAGATAACCTTGCATTATATTTCATAGGCATTGACAGTGCAACAGCTACTTCAGCCTGTGCATTCTTCCTGCAGACATATTTAAATTACCCACAAGGTTTGTTTTTACATGTTACCTGAAATACATTATACATACAGAACAAAATGCATGTCTCATTAAATGGAGTTTAAATTTTTTTCTAGTTAGTCACCAACATTTAATAGTTGAGAATGGTGTTATAAAAGTCTTATTTTGCCAGGCACGGTAGCTCACGCCTGTAATCCCAGCACTTTGGGAGGCCGAGGCAGGAGAATCCCTTGAGCTCAGGAGTTCAAGACCAGCCTGGGCCACATAGCAAGACCCCCACCTCTACAGAAAAAAAAAAAAAAATTAGCTAGGCTTCGTGGTGCATGCCTATAGTCCCTGCTACTCAGGAAGCTGAGGTGGGAGGATCACTTGAGCTCGAAAGGTCAAAGGATTGAAGCTACAGTGAGCTACGATCGTACCATTCCACTCCAGCCTGGGTGACAGAGTGGAGACCCTGTCTCAATAAAAAATAAAAACTACAATTAAGAACCAAAAAATAGGCTGGGCACAGTGGCTCATGCCTGTAATCCCAACACTTTAGGAGACTGAGGTGGGTGGATCACTTGAAGTCAGGAGTTCAAGACCAGCCTGGCCAACATGGTGAAACACCATTTCTACTAAAAATACAAAAAATTAGCCGGGTGTAGTGGTGGGCACCTGTAATCCTAGTTACCGGGGTGGCTGAGGCAGGAGAATCGCTTGAACCCAGAAGGCAGAGGTTGCTGTGAGCCGAGATCGCGCCATTGCCTGGCCAGCAGAGTGAGACTCCGCCTGAAAAAAAAAAAAAAAAAGAACCAAAAAATGATGCAAGGCCCTTTGAGTTTTTTTTTTAAACCAGTATCTGATTTTGAGAATCTTATGGTAATGTAACAAATTATAAAAATATTATTGGCTTATTAATTTGAAAATTTTCATCCAGTTTTCTCTATTTGTCAAATGAGAAAATTGTGTATGTTTGTTTGTAACTACACAGATGTCAAACAATCCATTTAGTTCATGTTCACTGTCTTTTCAGCTCTATGGATGACTTGTGAAGAAATGATTCTTTTGCCTATCTAATTTTAGATTTATACTGTAAACACATTTTGAGATCCTGTAGCTAGCGTTCATAACAGTGTTTCTACTAAATTATTCCCTAAATAGGGGATCATATAAGTGTTTGAAATACTTGTTTTCAAGCTTGGGAATACATGAAAACGTTTCAGATCTTATTAAACACTTTAAATAGAATGGCTATTTTGACCACTGGAGGGAAAAACACTCAGGCAGCCCCTGTAAAGGATATCACATTGTTAGACTTGAAAGTATGTTTGACAGATGGAAGGAATTTAGAAGAGAGTATTTCCCAACAGCAAAGTGACGTTATATTTAAATAGAAGCACAGGTGCTTTTGTCATCAATCATCAGAATTCATTTGAGCATTTTATAATAATTGAAAAATGACTTCTTGTGTTTGTGTTTATAGGCATTCAGCTCAGTGAGTACTTACCGGAGGTGAAAGACCTGCTACAAGCGGATCAGCTTGGAAGCTTAAAGTCCAATCCTTACTTCGAGTTTGTTTTGAAAGCAAATTATGAATATTATGTTCAGGGACAAATATAACTTTTTCTAAAAATGGCCATTGTTTATGAAATCTGTATAAGTGTGTCCTTATACAAATTTTAGGCCATAAACAAGTGTAAGTTTGTACAATTTCATAACATGTATAGCTGAGTTTTTATACTTTATATGTAGGAAGCTAATATAAAATAGTTATGTAACTGTGATTTTGGTTTTCAGTTATGTGACTTGTTTTTTCCACCTGAAATGTGTCAGTTGTTGTTCCTGTACTCGGTGCCCTTTCTTTTTACTCTCACGTGGTCCCAGGTTCTGGAGTTCTTGTCCTGGTTCTAGCTGCTCACATGTACAAATCACTTCTAGGCCTCAGTTTCTGCGACTATGAAAATTACTAGATTGCACTAGCTTGTCTCTAAAATTGCTGTGACTCCAGATACTTTGCACTGAAGAGAATCTAGGGTGTTTGATATCTGTTTCAGTTAGGGCTAATGGGAAATGTCTAGTAAGATAAATGTCAACTTTTGCTGACTTATTATGAGATGAAAAACCAAAGGAGAGTGGGCCTAACTCATGTGAGCTTGATAACTGATGAACTCATTGGGAGCATTTTAAACTTTTCTACATAAATAATAAATGAGCACTAATGAAAGTATTTTAGTGAATGAAACGTTTATGTGGTTTTCTAACCTATCTAGAAATTACTGTTGATGTTTAGTTCTAATCTTTCAGTGTGGGGATTCAGCCAGCCTCATGTATTTTCAGAATGACTCATGAATCTTTACCACAGTCTGCCTAGCTAGTCAAAAGCATGAATGATACTAGAAACCATTATAGGTTTTCCTAATATGGCAATTGATGTGACTGAAAGGTACTGTACTCTCAGAGCTTTGTCCTGACCAGTGTCATCACTCACTCAATGTTTATCTGGGTTTTAAATAAAGGCCAGAGGTTGGACAGGGAGTTGCTGGCATGTCCGCGGCTTGGCCCAGTAGAATGCCCACTAACCATCTTGCTCCAGCAGCTGAAAAGGTCAGAAGTTAAACATGGTGAAGAGTCCGGTTCCTGGATTCACAGAGCCCAGCATCAGGCCGTCTCCCCCGCAGGCTGCAAGGCCAGCCCTTGAGTATGTTTGGAAGAGCAGGTTAATGGAGCTGTTTGTAAATCAAAGGGAAGAAATTAGCAGCCTGTTCTTTTTCTCTTTGCAGCTTGTATGTTAGGACAGCATTAGGGTCTGGGTTAGGAACATGTTGGAAGGTACTAAGAGAAGTTAGGAAGAGCAGCTTGTCAGATGGCCAGTAAGAAACCGCTGAGTACTTGTATCGTAAGATGAGGCTTTGCTTTTACGTGGAGGTCAGCTGTCAGTGTTCACGTCTCACCTGTAGGACCCTGTCGGGTGATAATGTGCTGCGAGACACACAGGCTCCCATCTCCCTCCCGTGCTGCTGCAAACCTGGTGATCCCTGGTGTATGGGACAGTACCGCAGGAAAGCCCATCTGATCATGCCCCAGAACCCACTGATCGCGTGGACGTAGAACGACTGCTCTTACCGTGTGAAGTAGAGTCATCCTGTTCAAGGGAAGAAAAAGCTCCCTCTTTTAATCCTGTTTCTCTCTAAGTTAGTAGCTATTACACCCAAATGGTTGAGTTTTTAAAAATTATTTTAACAGTAAAAATGAAATTAAGACCTAGGATTTTGAATAATTTTTTCTCTAGAATTTTAAAAATTGGTTTCACAACGTAGTCTTCATCAACGAGTTATTAATGGTTTTTATATAAATCAAGTAGCTGATAAGTATACAGATGCTGTGTTGACATTTCTGTGGAAAGAGATACTTTACTGACTTGGAAAAGGTTCGTGATCACACCTGTCTATAAGTGCTGCCCTGAGAGTCCCAGCTTGGGACCTTGACAGAATACAAGAGTAAAGTGTCGTGTGCGATCCTGAGCAGAGGGGAGTGTACGCAGGCATGGAGACTGGCGCGTCTGGAGGATTTGTGGACAGAATGGTGTCAAGGATTGCAGCAGACCTGGAGATAGACAGTAAAAACTTGCTGAACTCCTGAGTGAGGTAAAGGCTACTGACGCCTCTCTTTGAGGGCTTTCATTTTTAATGATTGAACTGTGTTTCTTTTTTTACTTTAGGGGCTGAATCGTAGTTTTCCTACCATCACCCACCTACATCCTACACACCTGGACATTTTGAGGCTAACTACAAAAGCAGTGTAGCCTGTTCCTGACATTTTATCCTGAGGATGCGTGAAAAAAAAAAAAAAAATATATATATATATATATATATACACACACACACACCCGTGTAAACAAATCCACTCATTAAAAACCAAGATACATTTAAAAAAAATAATACTGGGTCAGGTATGGTGGCTCACACCTGTAATCCTAGCACTTTGGGTGACCAAGATGGGAGAATCGTTTGAGCTGAGGAATTCACAACCAGCCTGGGCAACACAGCAAGACCCTGTCTGTACAAAAAAAATTACAAAAATTAGCCAGGCATGGTTATGTGTGCCTGTAGTCCTAGCTACTTGTGAGGCTGAGTTGGGAGGATTGCTTGAGCCCAGGAGTTTGTGACTACAGTGAGCCATGATCACACCACTGCACTCCAGCCTGGGTGACAGATTAAGACCCTGTCTCAAATAATATTATGTAATTCTAAATTTTAAGAAAAACACTGTAGAAAATGAAAAAGAAAATAGACCTCTGTAATCCCACCAGCTGGAAATAATTAGTCACCATTATGAAATAGACTTTTGGACTGCATATGCTTTTTCATTTTGTAACCTACTTTTCTCATGGGAGATGTGAGCATTTTGCTGTATCCTTAATCCAGTGTTTCTTGACCTTTTTTTTTTTATCACCCCTCCTGAGGAGCCTTTTTAGACAGTTTTTCCTAATCACCTCCCACTCCAAAGAAAGTGTAATACCACAGACCTACTATATATCATTCATTCATTCATTCATTCATTCATTCATTCATTTGGAAATGGAGTCTTGCTCTGTCACCCAGGCTGGAGTGCAGTGGCGCGATCTTGGCTCGCTGCAACCTCTGCCTCCTGGGTTCAAGCAATTCTCCTGCCTCAGCCTCCCGAGTAGCTGGGATTACAGGCACCCGCCATCATGCCTGGCTAATTTTTGTATTTTTAATAGAGACAGGGTTTCACCATGTTGGCCAGGCTGGTCTAGAACTCCTGACCTCAGGTGATCTGCCTGCCTCGGCCTCCCAAAGTGCTGGGATTATAGGCGTGAGCCACCACACTTGGCCGACTATCTTTTAAATGTACTGTGGCCTTTGGAAGCCATAAACCATTGTACTATCTGAATTTTTTTCACTCTCTAAGAACCAAGTTTTCCCCCTTTGAGAATGCCCATCTTAATTATTATTTAGAATACAATGTTTTAAATGCGTGATACTTTACCATATGGCAGAACCATAATTAATGTAACAGCCCTTATTCTCTTGCTGTAGCTCTCTCTCAAAAGACACATTTTTTTGACCATTTTAAATAATGCTAGAATAAATCTTTGTACAAAAATCTTTATGCCCTCCAAATACGGTGAACATGACATTGACTCTCCTTGCTCAGTTGCAGTGACATTGATGTGTGTATACTGAGCAGGCCAATGACTTTAATGTTCTTTTCTCACCTTTTCTGCCACTGCACTGTGTGCACCTGCCCCAAGCCCTTAGTCATTGGAAGCAAGACATGGCACCATGTGCTGAATGTTTCATATGTCTTAGGTACTCACCTAGTTTGTTGTTTTGTTTTTGGTTTTGGTTTTGGTTTTTTGAGACGGAGTCTTGCTCTGTTCCTAGGCTGGAGTGCAGTAGCGCAATCTCAGCTCACTGCAGCCTGTCTCTTGGGTTCAAGAGATTCTCCTGCCTCAGCCTCCCTAGTAGCTGGGATTACAGGCACCCGCCACCATGCCCAGCTAATTTTTTTGTATTTTTAGTAGAGACCAGGTTTCACCATGTTGGCCAGGCTGGTGTTGAACTCCTGACCTCAAGTGATCTGTCCACCTGGGCCTCCCAAAGTGCTGGGATTACAGACGTGAGCCACCGCACTCAGCTCTCACCTGGTTTTAATCCTCAGATCAGTCTTAAGGAGTATTGTGAGTTGAGAATGCTTTCTGGAAAGTCACTTGTCCAAGATCACATAGCCAGTCAGAGGGGAAGGTAAATGCAGCTCTGCTTGATTCCAGAATGCAAGCTCCTAACCAGTTCATGATATTCTGGGTATAAAGAATGTTGAAGAGAGGGCACTGCTCCAATGAATCATCAGGTTCTTAGAGGTGGCCATGAGTGCAAAAACCACCAGCTTCAGGAGGAGGAAAAAGTAGAAAATCCAAGCCCAAGCCCTTTCTTTGGGCTGCCAGGAGTTGACTCAACTTTTTTTTTTTTTTTTTTTTTGAGATGGAGTCTCTCTCTGTTGCCCAGGCCTGGCGTGCAGTGGTGGGATCTCGGCTCACTGCAACCTCTGCCTCCCAGGTTCAAGTGATTCTCCTGTCTCAGCCTCCCGAGTAGCTGGGATTATAGGTGTGCACCACCACGCCTGGCTAATTTTTGTGTTTTTAGTAGAGACGGGGTTTCACCATGTTGGCCAGGCTGGTCTTGAACTCCTGACCTCAAGTGATCCACCAGCCTCGGCTTCCCAAAGTGCTGGGATTACAGGCATGGGCCACCGCGCCTGGCCGACCCGACGTTTTTAAGTAGCTTGTGAGAATGAGTTGGTCTTTGTCTACCCTGTTCCTGGAATATCTCTAACTTGGAGTGCCCAGCCAGCCCCTCAAAGCTGAGTTTCTGGGGAAGCTACGGCTTTTCATGTCAGGATGTCTTTGGCTCATTACTGGGAAAGATCCCTCAAGGGCCTGTTCTGTTTCGAACTGTACCCAGTGTTGGTGAGGATTAGAGAGAAGCAGCAGTCCTTGCCCTCCCTGGCCACTGGCAGTAGAAGGAAGGACAGCCCAAGCCCGTCTCCTCCACTGGCTGCTGTGGAACCTGGGGTGTGTTTTAGCTCATTAAGCCTCAGTTTTCTTTAAAAAAGAAAAAAAACTGGAATGAGTAATACCTATCTTATTTACCTTAGGATAGTTAAACGGTTAATTGAAACACGAAAGCATATTATAAAGTGTTTTACCAATTCCTGTTTAAATTGATAGGAAACACAGTAGGAAGACTGGAACTGAGCAAGATTGGGGTACGGGTGTGTGGAGTGTTGAGGGGCACAATTGGAGAGAAGGGAAGTGTGAACACACCGGGGTAGTGGTAGCAGAAGGGCCCGGTCAGGGTATGAAGAGCTGAGGCTGCACCTGAAAACTTAGAAGCAGGAACTCCCTGTCAAGCATACCCTACATGGCTGACCTTTACTTAGTGACAGTTCTCAAAAGGCGGAGCAGGGCGCCGCTGCGCTCCCCCAAAACATACATGTATGGAGACGTGGCTCTGCCACCCACCATTCAGTCTATTCTCTAAGCCAATGAGAATGCAACAAGACCAGAATGGGACTGAGGGTGGCCTGTGGTGACCTGTCAGGGACTATTTAAACCAGCCGCAAATCATGTGGGCAGGGAACAGATGCCTGGCTGGCCACCTCAGGGGCCATCTCCCACAGTTTGCTGTACTAGCAGGTCTCTGTTCGCTTGTGAGTGTTTTTAATCATGGTCAGCTTTTAGTGTGGGTTTGAATGTAACAGACTGAGCTTAGAAAAGCTTTCTGTAAGGAAAGGTAAGAGTTGAACTGAGCAAGAGTTTTGAAAAATAGTGACAATCCCATTCTCCTTTGGAATGCGCACAAATATTGAGGTATCCAGTGAACGGCAGCAAATTTCCTACCTTCAAGGCCCAAATGTAAGCTAGTCCCCTTACGTTACATGCAGCTCATTTGCTAAGTGGTTTTTTTCTAGTATCTCCACTACTCGCTGACACAGGAGGACACAGGATGTTAAAAAGGAAATACAGTTCTGTCAATTATTCACTTACTCTCCAAAATACTTGGAAGAACTAAATATGGAACCATAGGAGACTTTATCCTCACCGCATAGTCCCTATACTAGTCAAACTCCTTATTTTTTAATTGATCATTTTTAGGAAGGTAGCATTTTATTCACTAGAACATTTTTGTTAATACTTGTTTATTTTTGGGATGAACTGCCATGATGTGGGCTACAGAGGAGGGTCGCATATGCTTCCATCCCCCTTTTAGAGAATCCACACCTGTCCCAGTTGCTGGGTTCCACTACCAAAAGTGAATTGCAACTATTTTAGGAGCACTTAAGCACATCCGAAAAATGAGTGATTCTGTTCTGGCCCACACCACATCACTGATGTACCCCCTTAAAGCATGTCCCTGAGTTCATCACAGAAGACTGCTCCTCCTGTGCCCTCCACAAGGTTAGAACTGTCCTTGTCTTAGGGAAAAAGGAGAGAGAGAGAGAGAGAGAGAGAGAGAGAGAGAGAGAGAGAGAGAGAGAGGGACAGGCACCAACTGGGTAACCTCTGCTGACCCCCACTCTACTTTACCATAAGTAGCTCCAAATCCTTCTAGAAAATCTGAAAGGCATAGCCCCATATATCAGTGATATAAATAGAACCTGCAGCAGGCTCTGGTAAATGATGACTACAAGGTGGACTGGGAGGCAGCCCGGCCTTGGCAGGCATCATCCTCTAAATATAAAGATGAGTTTGTTCAGCCTTTGCAGAAGGAAAAACTGCCACCCATCCTAGAGTGCCGCGTCCTTGTCCCCCCACCCCCTCCAATTTATTGGGAGGAAGGACCAGCTAAGCCTCATCTAGGAAGAGCCCCTCACCCATCTCCACCTCCACTCCAGGTCTAGCCAGTCCTGGGTTGTGACCCTTGTCTTTCAGCCCCAGGAGAGGGACACACATAGTGCCACCAAAGAGGCTGGGGGAGGGCCTCAGCCCACCAAAACCTGGGGCCAGTGCGTCCTACAGGAGGGGAACCCTCACCCCTTCAATCCCTTTAGGAGACCCAAGGGCGCTGCGCGTCCCTGAGGCGGACAGCTCCGTGTGCTCAGGCTTTGCGCCTGACAGGCCTATCCCCGGGAGCCCCCGCGCCTCCTCCCCGGCGCTCCGCCCTCGCCTCCCCCCGCCAGTTGTCTATCCTGCGACAGCTGCGCGCCCTCCGGCCGCCGGTGGCCCTCTGTGCGGTGGGGGAAGGGGTCGACGTGGCTCAGCTTTTTGGATTCAGGGAGCTCGGGGGTGGGAAGAGAGAAATGGAGTTCCAGGGGCGTAAAGGAGAGGGAGTTCGCCTTCCTTCCCTTCCTGAGACTCAGGAGTGACTGCTTCTCCAATCCTCCCAAGCCCACCACTCCACACGACTCCCTCTTCCCGGTAGTCGCAAGTGGGAGTTTGGGGATCTGAGCAAAGAACCCGAAGAGGAGTTGAAATATTGGAAGTCAGCAGTCAGGCACCTTCCCGAGCGCCCAGGGCGCTCAGAGTGGACATGGTTGGGGAGGCCTTTGGGACAGGTGCGGTTCCCGGAGCGCAGGCGCACACATGCACCCACCGGCGAACGCGGTGACCCTCGCCCCACCCCATCCCCTCCGGCGGGCAACTGGGTCGGGTCAGGAGGGGCAAACCCGCTAGGGAGACACTCCATATACGGCCCGGCCCGCGTTACCTGGGACCGGGCCAACCCGCTCCTTCTTTGGTCAACGCAGGGGACCCGGGCGGGGGCCCAGGCCGCGAACCGGCCGAGGGAGGGGGCTCTAGTGCCCAACACCCAAATATGGCTCGAGAAGGGCAGCGACATTCCTGCGGGGTGGCGCGGAGGGAATGCCCGCGGGCTATATAAAACCTGAGCAGAGGGACAAGCGGCCACCGCAGCGGACAGCGCCAAGTGAAGCCTCGCTTCCCCTCCGCGGCGACCAGGGCCCGAGCCGAGAGTAGCAGTTGTAGCTACCCGCCCAGGTAGGGCAGGAGTTGGGAGGGGACAGGGGGACAGGGCACTACCGAGGGGAACCTGAAGGACTCCGGGGCAGAACCCAGTCGGTTCACCTGGTCAGCCCCAGGCCTGCGCCCTGAGCGCTGTGCCTCGTCTCCGGAGCCACACGCGCTTTAAAAAGGAGGCAAGACAGTCAGCCTCTGGAAATTAGACTTCTCCAAATTTTTCTCTAGCCCCTTTGGGCTCCTTTACCTGGCATGTAGGATGTGCCTAGGGAGATAAACGGTTTTGCTTTAGTTGTCGCCAAGGCAGTTCCCTTCCAAACTAGCGCTAGAGCGAATGAGCGAGCAGCCAGGACCACCCATTCTGGGTTTCCAACAGGCGAAAAGGCCCTTTCTGAGTTTGAAATGTCACAGGGTTCCTAACAGGCCACTCTTCCCTGGATGGGGTGCCAACGCCTTTCCCATGGGCATCTCCTTCCACCCTCACGCTGGCCCAGCAAGCAGGCAGTGCTGAGGCCTTATCTCCCTAGGTGACAGATGTGGTCAGGGAGGCGCAGAGAGGATGGGCACTAGCGTCCAGCTCCTGGAACAGGTGTCAGGCAGGGAGGGCAGACAGGTCTTGGGGAACATGTTCCCCTGGCTATGTGGACAGAGGACTTCTCAGTGGGGTCTCGCGACCCTGTGCCCCTTTTCCTGGTTCAGGGCAGCCCTTAGCCGGGGCAAAGGTCGAGAAGAGAACCCCTGGTCGCCGCCCTGGCAGAATTTGAGTGGCTCCGGCAGGAGATGTCCCTAGGTTCCTGGGGAGGGAGGACGTCGGGGCCAGCCAGGCTTACCCCCCCCTGCCGCTGAGACTTCTGCGCTGATGCACCGCGCCTCTTCGCGGTCTCCCTGTCCTTGCAGAAACTAGACACAATGTGCGACGAAGACGAGACCACCGCCCTCGTGTGCGACAATGGCTCCGGCCTGGTGAAAGCCGGCTTCGCCGGGGATGACGCCCCTAGGGCCGTGTTCCCGTCCATCGTGGGCCGCCCCCGACACCAGGTCAGGCTGCCCCTCCGCAGAGGGAGCCGGCTCGGGGTCCCCGCGTAAGCCAGCCTGGTGCCACCCGGAGCGGCGTTAACGGGTGCGTGGTGTCTCGGCTCTGCAGGGCGTCATGGTCGGTATGGGTCAGAAAGATTCCTACGTGGGCGACGAGGCTCAGAGCAAGAGAGGTATCCTGACCCTGAAGTACCCTATCGAGCACGGCATCATCACCAACTGGGATGACATGGAGAAGATCTGGCACCACACCTTCTACAACGAGCTTCGCGTGGCTCCCGAGGAGCACCCCACCCTGCTCACCGAGGCCCCCCTCAATCCCAAGGCCAACCGCGAGAAGATGACCCAGATCATGTTTGAGACCTTCAACGTGCCCGCCATGTACGTGGCCATCCAGGCCGTGCTGTCCCTCTACGCCTCCGGCAGGACCACCGGTGAGTGCCCGCTGCCCCCAGTCCCCTCTCCCGCCCCCGCCCCCGCCCCCGCCCCCGCCGCTAGCGCTGAGAGCCTAGCCTCGGCCTCGCCCCCAGCCACTCACTCTCTCCCGCGCGCGCACAGGCATCGTGCTGGACTCCGGCGACGGCGTCACCCACAACGTGCCCATTTATGAGGGCTACGCGCTGCCGCACGCCATCATGCGCCTGGACCTGGCGGGCCGCGATCTCACCGACTACCTGATGAAGATCCTCACTGAGCGTGGCTACTCCTTCGTGACCACAGGTGCGCGGCGCCCCTGCACCCCGGGCGGGAGGGCCGGCGGCGGCCCCTGAGTGAGGGCTCCTCTCCTGCTTCTGCCCTCCGCAGCTGAGCGCGAGATCGTGCGCGACATCAAGGAGAAGCTGTGCTACGTGGCCCTGGACTTCGAGAACGAGATGGCGACGGCCGCCTCCTCCTCCTCCCTGGAAAAGAGCTACGAGCTGCCAGACGGGCAGGTCATCACCATCGGCAACGAGCGCTTCCGCTGCCCGGAGACGCTCTTCCAGCCCTCCTTCATCGGTGAGCCCCGCTCGCCCTCGCCCCGGCCCCCAGGCCCCGCCGGCCCCCGGCGCCCCGAGCTTCTGCTCACGCTCCCCGCCGCGGTCCCCAGGTATGGAGTCGGCGGGCATTCACGAGACCACCTACAACAGCATCATGAAGTGTGACATCGACATCAGGAAGGACCTGTATGCCAACAACGTCATGTCGGGGGGCACCACGATGTACCCTGGGATCGCTGACCGCATGCAGAAAGAGATCACCGCGCTGGCACCCAGCACCATGAAGATCAAGGTGGGTGGTGGCCTGCGCGGGCTGTCGGCGGGGTGGGCTCCAGGGTGAGGTCTCCCCACCTCACGCGCTGTCTTGCAGATCATCGCCCCGCCGGAGCGCAAATACTCGGTGTGGATCGGCGGCTCCATCCTGGCCTCGCTGTCCACCTTCCAGCAGATGTGGATCACCAAGCAGGAGTACGACGAGGCCGGCCCTTCCATCGTCCACCGCAAATGCTTCTAGACACACTCCACCTCCAGCACGCGACTTCTCAGGACGACGAATCTTCTCAATGGGGGGGCGGCTGAGCTCCAGCCACCCCGCAGTCACTTTCTTTGTAACAACTTCCGTTGCTGCCATCGTAAACTGACACAGTGTTTATAACGTGTACATACATTAACTTATTACCTCATTTTGTTATTTTTCGAAACAAAGCCCTGTGGAAGAAAATGGAAAACTTGAAGAAGCATTAAAGTCATTCTGTTAAGCTGCGTAAAGTGGTCGTGTTTATTTGCTTGGGGCGGGAGTGGAGCAGGAAGAGGGATTCCCATCCCCCACATCCTCTTAAGTCACTTTTCACGATACCCCAAATGAATGGGCTCCTTGGAAGACAAAACTTACATCTTCCCATGCTCCCCTGCCGGTTTCTGCAGTGGATCAGATCCATTCCAGATCACTGGCAGCTAGTGGTGGCCTGACTTGACCCTCTGGGGTGTGGCGAGGCAGCTTTCTTCCTCTGCGCAGCGCTCCCGAGTGTTGCCAGCACTGCCGGGGCGGCCTCCGCTGGTGGCCCTGGGTCCCCTCAGGCAGCGGGCGCTGACCATGGTGCTGGGGCTGGAGAGCTGTTTCTCAGAGGGCGTCTCAGCTCCGCCTATGGTGTTCCCCTACTGAATCTCCAGATCTGAGAGGGGGTTGTGTTCTGCATGTAACAAGTCATTTTGTTTTTGTTTTTGTTTTTGTTTTTTAATAGAGACAGGGTCTCGCCCTGTCGCCCACGGTGGAGAGCAGTGGTGTGATCAGAGCCCAACTGTATCCTCTAATTGAGCTCAAGGGGTCCTCCCACCTCAGCCTCCCCAGTTGCTAATATTTTCGCATGTGCCACCGCGTCCAGCCAGTTTTTTATTTTTATTGTAGAGACAGGGTCTCAGGGTCTTGTTATGCTGCCCAGGCTGGTCTCGAACTCCTGGCCACAAGCAATGCTTCTGCCTCAGCCCCTCAAAGTTCTGGGATTACAGGTCTGTGCCACTATGTCCAGGCTTAATAAATGAGTTTTAATTTGCAAGTGAAGACCGTCACTGCCTCTCTCCAATGGGGAAGTCCTTTGCTTCACACCAGGTGCTGCTGGTAGAAAGAAACACCCCCTCGTGCAGGACCTGGGAAGGAGGCAAGGGAGGGCCAAGTGAGAGCTCCAGAAAGAAGGGCAGCAAAGAAGCGTCGGAGGGGTGGGAAGCTGAGGCTCACGCTGGAAGACGGGGAGGTAAGCAAGGGGAGGAGGAACACCCTCACCCCCAAAACAAGTTTTAAAGGCATCAAATTTATCAACAGTTTGAACTTCTGTGGGAGAGTGCAATACCTATTCCTTAAAGGGAGCTTAATGTTTCCTAGTCAAGTTTCTCAAGAGCAGTGGCCCCTAAATATAATGGATTCAGACTCAAAGTAATAAACTCGTTTGTAAATAAGTTTATAGCTGCAATTGACAAAATAGCTATGTTACATGCCACGTAGTCATATGTTTAATCCCTCATCTTCTGGCTTATTGAAAAACTTCAGAAATCTTTGAGGCCTCAAAAGGCATGGTACTGTCAAATCCAGATATCAAGAGAGTTGACAATATTGCTAAAATTTAAGATTTTAATAAAAGAAGTATATAATACCATGTTCATTGAAAACCTTGTATTGTCCCACTCAGGGTGGATGAAGGTTAAAAATGGGCTAAATACTAGTCTTTCAGAGGTATACAGCTTTTGTTGATAATACTAACCACATATATACATATCTGATATAATAATACTCTAACATATTGGTAATATTGAATATGCAAAGGCATATCTGAGCAAACATAACCTACACACACATAGCTTAAATAATTCATTCGTGGCCAGATGCAGTGGCTCACACCTGTAATCTCAGCACTTTGGGAGGCCGAGGTGGGCGGATCACTTGAGGCCAGGAGTTCGAGACCAGCCTGTCCAGCGTGGTGAAACCCTGCCTCTACTAAAAATACAAAAATTAGCTAGTCATGGTGGTGTGCACCTGTAGTCCCAGCTACTCGGAACGCGGAAGTGGGAGAATCACTTGAGCCCCAAGAGGCAGAGCTTGCAGTGAGCCAAGATTATGCCACTGCAATCCAGCCTGGGTGCAGTGAGACCCTGTTTCAAAAATAAATAAATAAATTCATTCATGTAGCCAGCAGCCTGGTAAAATATCACTATTACATGTGTTAGCTGACTGTCATGCTAACGATTTTTGAACCAGAACCCTAAATCAATTGGGATTTAAGTAAGATATGTAAGGTCTATTTCTCCTATGATCATAATCTGTAAATGACTCATAATAGTTTAGAACTGACAGAAGTTTTCAATACACTGTGATAGTGTTTTGTCAAGTGCCAATTTTTAAAACCCATCATTGACATTACTGTTTTACCAAAAATAAGTGCAAAAATTATAAATTACATGTTTTCACTGGAAATGCACGAAATCTAAAAAAATCATTTATTATTTATTTATTTTGAGATGGAGTCTCGCATTGTCACCCAGACTAGAGTGCAGTGGCTCAATCTCGGCTCACTGCAACTTCTGCCTCCTGGGCTCAAACAATTCTCCTGCCTCAGCCTCCCCGGTAGCTGGGATTACAGGTGTGCACCGCACCTGGCTAATTTTTGTATTTTTAGTAGAGACAGGGTTTCACCATGTTGGCCAGGCTGGTCTTGAACTCCTGACCTCAAGTGATCTGCCTGCCTCGGCCTCCCAAAGTGCTGGGATTACAGGCATGAGCCACCACGCCTGGCCAAAAATGCCATTTCTTTTCTGACACTTCTCTAAAAGGAAACAAGCATCTTGCATTTTATTAGTATTCCATATCTTTTCTGCTCTCATATTGGGTTGTGGCTACAGGTATTTTGTAAATTGTGTTACCAATATTAGGCCTGAAAGAGGATTTTTTCTGTGGTGTGGTGTGGTCAGGAATGAATCTTTAAAAACAATCTAGAACATATACAAATATTTGTACTACATGAGGACAGAAGTAACTATTTTCAGCAGCTACACAGGTGTTTGTGGTAACAAGAACCAAGACCCTGCGTGGCAACACTGTGCTGGGCCTTGCAGAGGGGATATGCCATAGCAGACTTCCCACCGAAAAGCCCTCTCAGAGAATCCATTTAGAGCTGTGAGAGAAGTGAAGGCCACAGGGATTCCCCCCACCTATTGCTTACCGTGTTTCCTTAGATGTGGAAACAGGACTCATCAAGGCTCTAACTGGACTTATTTCCTTCTCATAAAAGCTCATTAAGTTGCCACTAAAATTTTTCCCTACTAAATCTATATTACTATTGTACAGGAGGAGAACGACAGGGGAAAGAAGAAAATGGAAAGAGACAGTGTGTCCAGATTAAAGCGTGGGACTAGGATTGAGAAAAAAGAATGAAAGGTCTCAGGACTCGGGCACACCCTGGGCTCTCTCATTTAAACCTTTGGAGGTTAGAATTTGGGGATATCAAGGTCCTTCCTGCTGCATCTGTCCCATGGTCTATTGCATTCACCTCAGATGTGGCAGAACGTACAAAGGGTTAGTGAACTATTGTATTGCCCAGCTTCTTGGTTTTTTGTTTTATTTTTCTAGAGACAGAGTCTAGCTCTGTTGCCCAGGCTGGAGTGCAGTAATGTGATCATAGCTCACTGTAGCCTTAAGCTCCTGGGCTCAAATGATGCTCCTGCCTCAGCCTCCCAAGTAGCTAGGACTACAAGCATGTACCACCACACTGGCTAATTTTTTTTTATTTTACGTAGAGATGGGGTCTTGCTCTGTTGCCCAGGACAATCTTGAACTCCTGGGCTCAACTGATCCTCCTACCTTGGCCTCCCAAAGTGTTGGGACTGCAGGCGTGAGCCACCATGCCTGGCCATATTGCTCAGCTTCTATGTGCAAAGGGTACAGAAAAGGCCAAGATATGTCCCATCCCTAGGATTCTGCTGCCATGATCCTTATCACGACTAGCCTCTCATGCCTTGGCTCTTTTTGTTAAAATGTATTTTTATTTTTTATATTTTAGAGACAGGGTCTCACTGTCTCACCCAGGCTAGAGTGCAGTGGTCCAGTCATAGCTCACTGCAGCCTTGATCTCCTGGGCTCAAGCGATCCTCCTGCTTCAGCCTTCAAAAGCAGAGATTGCAGGTGCGAGCCACTGTGCTTGCCCCCTGCCCCGCCCCCCATCCTTTTTTTAAGACAGGGTTTCACTAGGTTTCCCAGGCTGGTCTAGTAGCTGGGATTACAGGCATGGGCTGTGATACTAGGCTCTTCTTGAGTCTCTTTTTGCCACAGAGCACACTGGGGGCTGCTGGCGGAGAGGAGGTGGGGGCACCACCTGACTGTGAACTGTTTGGATTCTGTGGGTGCTGGGCTGTTTCTCACTCTGTGCAGTTAGTTGTGACTGTGAGGCTGCTCCACTGCACAGTATTGCTTTCTGACAAGATGGGATGAGTTCCAGATCCTCGTTCTTATGGAGGAAACACATCCCTTATTGTGCTCAAGAAGGCCTGCTTCTCTCCCCAGCTCCAGGGACATAGAAAGTGGCATGGCCTCACCCAGCAGTGCCTCAGCTAGAAGGACTGCAGGGAAATGGGCTCTGCCCATGGGGTCAGCCTGCCTGCCTGCCTCTCCTCTTTGTCTCCCTTTCTGTCCCTTCCATTTCCTTTCTGCCCTGCTATGTCCTCTGGAAAGTATTCGTTTTACCACTGTCGCTATGTCCTAGGGCTTTTGAGGAGCTACCACAAGCTTTTGAGCTTCACTGTGGCTCTCAAAAAGAAGCTGAGGAAGCCTGCTTTCTTGGTTAGACAGGTGGCATGCTGGGAACACGGGGGTCCCATGTCCACCTGCATCCTTGTCACTCCCAGCCAGAGCACTGTTAGGGAAGGCCATGGGCTGCGACTTCCAAAAGGGGTGTGAGGTGGCAGAAGCAACTGCAGGGTAGCTCATGGGAGACAGGAACATGGGCGGCTCCCCCAGGGCCATCCATATCACGTAGGAAGCTGGTGGGCCTGTCACTGGGTGAAGGATCCCCAAGCACTTGACTGGCCCTGCCTTCCTTGTCAATTTCTTAATGGCTTATCCTGATATTAAACCATTTCTGGGGATGGTGAGTGAGGGAAAGGGAAATTTTGAAGGGTGGAAAGATGACATTGGTGGTTCTCATGGGTGTGAATAGAATCAGGATTGCCTTTACCACCCCATTTTCTCCAATTCCCTACACGGTGCCTGGTGCCTGTGTTCTGTTCTTCTGGCTGCTGTAACAAAGTACCACAAAATGAGTGGCTTCAAACAACAGGAGTTTATTCTCACAGTTCTGGGGGCCAGGAGCCTAGAATCCTGGTGCTGGCAGGATAGGTTCCTTCTGAAGGCTCTGAGGGAGAATCTTTCCATGCCTCTCCCAGCTTCTGGTGGTTGCCAGCAATTCTTGGTGTTCCTTGGCTTGTAGATGCATCACTCCAACCTCTGCCTCCGTCTCCACATGGCCTTCTTCCCCGTGTGTTTCAATGTATCTCTGTGTGTTCACCTGACTGCTGCCTTCCTCCTCCCCCTCCTCCTCCTCCTCTCATCCCCTCCTCCTCTTCCTCCTCCTTCTCTTCTCTTCTTCCTCCTCCTCCTCTTCTCTTCTTCCTCCTCCTCCTCTTCTCTTCTTCCTCCTCCTCCTCTTCTCTTCTTCCTCCTCCTCCTTCTCTTCTCTTCTTCCTCCTCCTCCTCCTCTTCTCCTCATCCTCCCCCTCCTCCTCCTCTTCCTCTTCTCATCCTCCCCCCTCCTCCTCTTTCTTCTCCTTCCCTCCTCCTCCTCTTCTTCAACCAGAAATCTTAATTTTTTTACACCTATTATGCCACAGTTTCATAGAGAATAGGTTCCAGCAGCTCAGGCTTCTTTGGTTCTCATGAAGTGTGCTGTTCCAGGTGAGGTAGGCTGGTGTTTCTGTTGAACATAGGTACCTTTCTCTTTGGCTTCTTTCTTTTACTGATCTTTTTTGTTCAATGTGTTTTAGGAATTTATCTTGTGTGCCTAACATTCTCAATAACAACATTTATTATCTTGGCAAGAATATTGCCCTTAACTTGTTTGTCTGTAACAATGTCAACAGCATGCTGGGTAACGTTGTATTTGTGGGACATTCCCCCCACTTCTTTTTTTTTGAGGCAGAGTCTCACTTACTCTGTCACCTAGGCTGGAGTACAGTGGCATGATCTCGGCTCACTGCAACCTCCGTCTCCTGGGTTCAAGTGACTCTCATGCCTCAGCCTCCTGAGTAGCTGGGATTACAAGTTCGTGCCACCACTCCCATCTAATTTTTGTATTTTTAGTAGAGACGGGGTTTTGCCATGTTGGCCAGGCTGGTCTCAAACTCCTGGCCTCAAGCGATCCACCCACCTCAGCCTCCCAAAGTGCTGGGATTACAGGCGTGAGTCACTGCACCCTGCCTGACATTCCCTTTTGAACAGTGCCCATTCCCTTGATGTCATCAGAAAGATTCAAAATAAAAGATATAGCAGACACTCCTATGCATCCATGATTATGGCTAAAATTAAAAAGACTGGTAACACCAAATATTGGCAAGCATGTGGAGTAACTGAAATTCTCATACTCTGTTAAGTGGGAATATAAAATGATACAACTTTGGAAAGGCATTTGGCAGTTTCTTATAAAACTAAACATACAACTATTCTAATACCTGAGAATTTCACCCCTAGGAATTTACCCATGAAGCATAAAAACATATGTTCAAAAAGAGACTTGAGCAAGAATGCTAATAGCAGCTTTATTCATAAAAGTAGAAACTGGTAACAGCTTGGGTATCCATCAACAAGAAAAGGAATAAACAAACTGTGTGTATGCTTATAATGAATACTACATAGCAATAAAAAGGAACAAACCGTTGATACACAAAACAACATGATGGATCCCTAGAACATGCTGAGTAAAAGAAAATTTACACAGAGCAGTATATACTGTAATTTGAGAATAGGCAAAACTAGGAAAAAAAATTAGAACTGTGGTTGCCACTGGAGAGTGGAGAAGGAGATTAAGAACCAGCATTATGAAACTTTTGGTGGTGATGAAAATGTTCTATATCTTGAGAAAGGATTGGGATATACAGGTTAAATTCAGGACTGTACCCTTAAGGTGTGCATTTTACTTCACATGCCTTCTAATAGAAGCAAAATTTTTTGTAAGCAAAAACTAGGGTGTCAGAACTTCTTGATATTCTTTACATTTTATTTAATTTTTATTTTTTATAATTTTTTTGAGACAGGGTCTTGCTCTGTCACCCAGACTGGAGTGCAGTGGCATGATCACAGCTCAGTGCAGTGATCCTCCCACTTCAGCCTTCCAAGTAGCTGGGACTACAGGTATGTGCCACCACACCCAGCTGAAAAAAAAAAAAATGTAGAGACAAAGTCTTGCTGTTTCCCAGGCTGCTTACATTTTACAACTTTGCAACTTCTTTTCTGTATTTTTATGGGGGGTTTTTTTGAATGGCATTGTAGGTAATTTCCTCCAGCTGATCTTCCAGTTCACTAACTCTTCCTTTAACTTGCTTAATATCCTGTTAACCAATATCATTGAGTTTTAAATTTCTATTTAAAATTTATTTTAAATTTAAATTAAATTTAATTGAGTATTAAATTTTTTTGTTTTAGAAATTGTTTTATTATTTTCCAAATCAACTAGGTCACATTCTTATAGTTTTCTGTTCCCTGAAAAAATTTGTTATTTTATCTTTTACTTCTTTAACAGAGCAAGCATAGTTTCTTAATAATACAGATATGAGGCCGGGTGCAGTGGCTCATGCCTGTAATCCCAGCACTTTGGGAGGCCAAGGCGGGTGGATCACCTGAGGCCAGGAGTTCAAGACCAGCCTGGTCAATATGGTGAAACCCCGTCTGTACTAAAATACAAAAATTAGCTGGGTGTGGTGTCACATGCCCGTAATCCCAGCTACTCAGGGGGCTGAGGCAATAGAATCACTTGAACCCAGGAGGCAGAGGTTGCAGTGAGCCAAGATCATGCCACTGCACTTCACCCTGGGCAACAGAGTGAGATTCTGTCTCAAAATAATAATAATAATAATAATAATAATAATAATAATATAGATATGATAATCCCAGTGGCTGAAATCATTGTGTTTGTTTCTGTTATTTCTGCTTTAGTTCTTACTCCTGCTGCCTTGTTTCCATGTGCACTTAAATGTGCCACGTTCATTGTCCTTGAAGAGTTACTTGTGGGACACTTAGAATAAAGGTGACTCTCCCCAGAGAGGGTCTGTGTTTGCTTCTCCCAGAAAAACGCTTCTAATCCAAGACCGTGTTAAAGTAAATTCAAAGCTTTAGGACGCTTGGTCCCCCAGGTGATATGAATTATGAATCTGTCCTGCAACTACACATGAGAACTGAGTTTATATTTACCATTTCCTAGAAGTTTGCATTCCATCCCATACCATGACCATCAGCATTCCATACCAAGACCATGCGCTCAGTGCCAAGACAAGTTGCAAATTCCCTGAGTGTAGGTGTAGGGTAGGGTTAGCTTATAGTTCACTGCTATAAGCTTACCCAATGGTGTAGACCTTCAGGGTCTTAGTTTCCTGTAAGGAGGCCCCAGGCTTTGCAAAGCTGTTAAACCCCAAGTGCAGGGTAGTTGGAATAAGCAAACACTCTCCGGACAAGAGCTATTTCTAGGATCCTTGCACTTACAGCTTTTCTTAAATTTTGGCTAATTCTTTTTTTGGTCTGAATTTTAAAAAAATATTTATTTATTTATTATTTTTTAGAGACAGGGTCTCACTATGTTGCCCAGGCTGATCTTGAACTCCTGGGCTCAAACGATCCTCCTGCCTCAGCCTCCTGAGTAGCTGCCACTACAGGCACATGCCATCATGCCACACTCTGGCTTAGTAATTCTTTACCACCCGTTAATTCTTCAGTGTTCATAAGAAGATTAAAAAAAATCTTAGGCCAGGCATGGTGGCTTATGCCTGTAATCCCAGCACTTTGGGAGACTGAGGCAGGAGGATCACTTGAGCCCAGGAGTTCAAGACCAGCCTGGGCAAGATAGTGAGACCCTGTCTCTACAAAAAAAATATTATTTTTTATTTTACTTTAAGTTCTGCACATTTTACATGTGCAGAACATGCAGGTTTGTTACATAGGTATACATGTGCCATGATGGTTTGCTGCACCTATCAACCCGTCATCTAGGTTTTAAGCACCGCATGCATTAGCTATTTGTCCTAATGCTCTCCCTCCCCTTGCTCCCAACCCCACCGAAAAATTTTTTTTTTTAATTAGCAGGGGTAATGGCGTGCACCTGAAGTCCCAGCTACTCAGGAAGCTAAGGAGGGAGAGTCATTTGAGCCTGGGAGGTGGAGGCTGCAGTGAGCCGAGATTGCACCACTTCACTCCAGCCTGGGCAGCAGAATAAGATCCTGTCTCAGCCGGACGCGGTGGCTCAAGCCTGTAATCCCAGCACTTTGGGAGGCCGAGGAGGGCGGATCACGAGGTCAGGAGATTGAGACCATCCTGGCTAACATGGTGAAACCCCGTCTCCACTTAAAAAAATACAAAAAAATTAGCGGGGCGTGGTGGCGGGCGCCTGTAGTCCCAGCTACTCGGGAGGTTGAGGCAGGAGAATGGCGAGAACCTGGGAGGTGGAGCTTGCAGTGAGCCGAGATCGCGCCACTGCACTCCAGCCTGGGTGACAGAGCGAGACTCCATCTCAAAAAAAAAAAAAAAAAAAAAAAAAAAAGACCCTGTCTCAAGAAAAAATAACGTTCTATCAAGCATTTTTAGTTGGTTTCAATAGGAGTGTTAATCCCAAGAACTTAGCCCACCATATTCCCTAAAAATAGACCTCAACATACCCTACTTACCAGCTTTGTCTTTAGCCGCCCCTGAAAAACATCTCAAATCTCACATGTAGGCTTCGGAAAGTTTGTCCCAAATTCTGATGCCTTATTTTAAAGCTGTTGCCTTTTTCCTGGGCCTAAAAATGCACCGAATCTGAAAATTTTCCCAGGATGACAGGCCACCAGCTGGGAGGCCGAGATGCCTGGAGCCCTCGCAACCCAAAGCTAACGTGCCATGTGTCAACAGGGATCAGTTGAACCATGAATACAAAAAAAAAAAAAAAAAGAAAAGAAAAGAATGAAGGGCGAAGGGGACGAAGAGAGTAGGCCAAAGTGAGAAATCATCATGACAGCTTCCGGGGGTGGAAGAGGGGGGATTTTTCTTCCTGACCTTTTTGTACCTCAATGTTTCCACCAATATTATTTTTTCAACAAATACGCGTTATGTTAACATTAAGAATATTAAATCAAATGGCACAAATGAATAATTAAACAGAAAAGAAAGGATCTACTCGTCCAGCAGACCAGAATTCTCTTTCCAGTAGGACAAGTTTGGGCGGATCCATTCACAATCCTGCTGATGACCACAGGCCAGGCTCCTGCGACAGATGGAGGAGCTTAGAGGCTTGGGCTGGGCAGGGGATCAGAGGATCATATACAATCATACACGTGAATGACACATGGGATCATAGGTGATGCAAGGCGGCACCTGCTGGAAGGAGCTCAAGTTGCTGCTTTCATTGACCTGCCCCGTCCACCAGAGCAATTCTGGATGCACTTAGCAGACATCGGTGGAAAGAGAATATATGGAATTCAGGAGACTGAGTTCTATTCCCAGCTCTGCCTAGCACATTAGGTTTCCCCTGCCAATACCATTCTGCCATGGAAGAGGGAGGAGCGGCTTTTCTGCAGGATGAGGGAGCAAGCTAGGAGAAGGGGGAGAGTCACATTTTTCCAAGGACACGTTCCTTGAGAGCTTCAGAAAAGGTTCCACTGTATTCTTTCTCCTTCCAAAGCTACAGAGCTCAAGATTCTCCCCCACTTTCTTCCCTCCCTTTAGTTTTGTCCATTCATCAACACATATTTATGGAGTATCGCTACCATTGCAGGAACGGAGACGTGCGATATGGAATATAGTTATATGGAATAACTTAACCCTACTTGAACTTCTTCTCAAGTAAATGCTTCAAAAGGATGCCTGTCATCCCTGGGCGCGTGTCAGGGCGCATGTTAGGGCGTCATCTCAGGGCGCATGTCATCTGTTTCTAGAATCTGGATTTTCTGCTAATGTTTGTTTCAGCCTCTAGTGCTCAGTGCAAGGCAGGCAGGTGGAAGCAGGACCATGCAGGTACAGTGAGGCTCCCGGAAGACCTCCATGCTCAGATCTCCAGGTGCCCTGGGGCGGAACCTACCAGGGTCATTCTCCCAGGTTTGGGGGATGGGGGAGCTGCATGTGTTTTCCCACACCACGCTGGCACTGGAGACCAGGAATTTTTAAGCCAGGAAACTCAGCATCTCTGAAATTATCATGGGATCTCTTCCCGACATGGGCAAGGCAAACACTGGTTCAGGCTGGGATGAGGATGAGGTGAGAGGCCCCAGAATCTGCACTTGCACTTGTACCACCAGCACAGAGGATGTGCCTCACTTCCCACACCCAGTCCCAGCCCTGCACTGGGTGGCTGTATTTTTTCCAAGGGGCAGCCCCGGGCACCATGAGGCAAAGCGAATTGTTCCAGGCTACAGGAGAGCACAGGCACTGTGGCCCCCCAGCCAGGGAAGTGTCTGTGTCCTTTTTCCTCCATGCACTTTCCTGGTTATGGGACTACATGGGAGGGAGCTGTGCTGCTCCTCAGTCTGAGAAATTAAGACATCTAAAATCAAGTTGACATTATTCTTCAGCTTATTTTCCAAACGGATCCAGAACCCCCTCCCCTGCTATTGCCCTGCTTATTGGCACCCCCTCCAATCCTCAATTAATTCACTAATTTATTCAACCGACACTTGCTGAGCACCTACAAATCAGTGTCTCGGCCCTCAGGGAGCTGGCAGTCTAGCTGAGAGGCAGATATTGATCAAACAGCAACATGGGCTGGGTGCAGTGGCTCAGGCCTGTAATCCCAGCACTTTGGGAGGCCAAGGTGGGTGCATCACCTGAGGTCAGAAGTTTGAGACCAGCCTGGCCAACATGGTAAAACCCCATCTCTCTCTCTCTCTCTCTCTCTCTCTTTTTTTTTTTTTTGAGACAGAATCTCGCTCTGTCACCCAGGCTGGAGTGCAGTGGCACCATCTCGGCTCACTGCAACCTCCACCTCCCGGGTTCAAGTAATTCTCCTGCCTCAGCCTCCTGAGTAGCTGGGATTACAGGCATGCACTACCACACCCCGCCAATTTTTGTATTTTTAGTAGAGATGGAGTTTCACCATGTTGGCCAGGCTGGTCTCTGTCTCACGTGTCCGTGTGAAGAGATCACCAAACAGGCTTTGTGTGGGCAACAAAGCTGTTTATTTCACTTAGGTGCAGGGGGACTGAGTCCAAAAAGAGAGTCAGCAAAGGGTGGTGGATTATCATTAGTTCTTATAGGTTTGGGGATAGGCGGTGGAGTTAGGAGCAATGTTTTGTGGGCAGGGGGTGGATCTCACTAAGTACATTCTCAAGGGTGAGGAGAATTACAAAGAACTTTCTTACGGGTGGGGGAGATTACAAAGTACATTGATCAGTTAGGGTGGGGCAGAAACAAATCACAATGGTGGAATGTCATCAGTTAAGGCTATTTTCACTTCTTTTGTGGATCTTCAGTTGCTTCCGGCCACCTGACCTTGTGATCCGCCCTCCTTGACCTCCCAAAGTGAAGGGATTACAGACGTAAGCCACTGCGCCCTGCCCATCTCTCTTAAAGATACAAAAATTAGCCAGGTGTGGTGGTGGGTGCCTGTAATCCCAGCTACTCAGGAGGCTGAGGTGGGAGTTTCATGCGCCTTGTGAAGAGACCACCAAACAGGCTTTGTGTGAGCAACAAAGCTGTTTATTTCACCTGGGTGCAGGTGGGCTGAGTCCGAAAAGAAAACAAAGGGAATTAAGGGTGGGGCCGTTTTATAGGATTTGGGCAGGTAAAGGAAAATTACAGTCAAAAGGGGGGTTGTTCTCTGGCGGGCAGGAGTGGGGGTCATAAGGTGCTCAGTAGGGGAGCTTTTTGAGCCAGAATGAGCCAGGAAAAGGACTTTTACAAGGTAATGTCATCACTTAAGGCAAGGACCGGCCATTTTCACTTCTTTTGTGGTGGAATGTCATCAGTTAAGGTAGGGCAGGGCATTTTGACTTCTTTTGTGATTCTTCAGTTACTTCAGGCCATCTGGGTGTATATGTGCAAGTCACCGGGGGTGTGATGGCTTGGCTTGGGCTCAGAGGCCTGACATTCCTGCCTTCTTATATTAATAAGAAAAATAAAGCAAAATAGTGTTGAAGTGTTAGGGCGGCGAAAATTTTTGGGGGGTGGTATGGAGAGAGAATGGGCGATGTTTCTCAGGGCTGCTTCAAGTGGGATTAGGGGCGGCGTGGGAACCTAGAGTGGGAGAGATTAAGCTGAAGGAAGATTTTGTGGTAAGGGGTGACATTGTGGGGTTGTTAGAAGAAACATTTGTCATTTAGAATTATTGGTGATGGCCTGGATACAGTTTTGTATGAATTGAAAAACTAAACAGAATAAGAGAAGGAGAAAAACAGGTATTAAAGGTCTAAGAATTGGGAGGACCCAGGACATCTAATTAGAGAGTGCCTAAGGAGGTTCAGCATAGTCCTGCCAGCAAAGATTATTTACTTTAAGACTTAAGAGTGGCAGTTTGGGGATAGCATCCATATCAGCTGTGATGGCTTGGAGAAACAGTATAAACCGGCAGTGTAAACAAAAGCAGGGCATGTGTGAGTAGCTGAGAACGGTGAATAGGATTATGACTAGACAGAAGATAGTAGGGATGACAATTTTTTTGGAGCACCGTCCAAGTTGGTCTGGTGTCTGGAATGAGACTGGGGCCTAATAAAAAGGAGCATCTATACAGGAGCTCAAATGGGCTGTACCTTGTAGCATTCTGAGGACAGGCTTGAATTCTGAGAAGGGAAAGTGGTAAAAGTATTGTCCAGTCCTTTTTAAGTTGGTGGCTGAGCTTGGTGAGGTGTGTTTTTAAAAGACTATTAGTCTGTTCTACCTTTCCTGAAGACTGAGGACCGTAAGGGATATAAAGGTTTCACTGAATACTAAGAGCCTGAAAAAAATGCTTGGCTGATTTGACTAATAAAGGCCGGTCTGCTATCTGACTGTATAGAGGTGGGAAGGCCAAACCGAGGAATTATGTCTGACAGAAGGGAAGAAATGACCGCGGTGGACTTCTCAGACCCTGTAGGAAAGGCCTCTACCTATCCAGTGAAAGTGTCTACCTAGACTAGGAGATATTTTAGTTTCCTGACTCGGGGCATGTGAGTAAAGTCAATTTGCCAGTCCTGGGCAGGGGCAAATCCCCGAGCTTGATGTGTAGGGAAGGGAGGAGGCCTGAACAATCCCTGAGGGGCAGTAGAATAGCAGATGGAACACTGAGAAGTGATTTCCTTGAGGATAGATTTCCAGGATGGAAAGGAAATGAGAGGTTCTAAGAGACGGGCTAGCGGCTTGTAACCTACATGGAAGAGGTTATGAAATGACAACAGAATAGAATGGGACTGTGAGGCTGCAAGGAGATATTTTCCTTGGTCTAAGAACCATTTGCCTTGTGTGGGAAGAGATTGATAGGTGGAAGTTTCAGCAGGGGAGTAGGTGGGAATGACTGATGTGAAGGAGAAAAACTGGCTGTAAGGGACAGAAGGTGGAGAGCTAGCTGCTTGTCTAGCCACCTTATCAGCATAAGCGTTGCCTAGAGCAATGGGATCTGATGCCTTTTGATGGCCTTTGCAGTGAATGACTCCAGCTTCCTTTGGAAGTGAAGCGGCCTTGAGCAGAGTTTTTATTAGAGGCATTAATGATGGAGGACCCTTGCGTAGTGAGGAAACCTCTTTCAGCCCATGTGACCACATGGTGGTGCAGAATATGAAAGGCATATTTAGAATCAGTATAGATATTGACGCATAGTCTTTTTGCAAGAGTGAGGGCTTGAGTTAAGGCAACTAGTTCGGCTTTCTGAGAGATAGTGGAGGGGGGCAGAGCAGTAGCCTCAATGATAAATGTGGAAGATACTATAGCGTAGCCTGCCTTTGCTGGTGAGTGGCGATTAGGCCTGGTGGAACTGCCATCAATAAACCAAATGTGATCAGGGTGAGAAACAGGAAAGAAGGAAACGTGGGGATATGGGGTGAACGTCAGGTGGATCAGAGAGATGCAGTCATGAGGGTCAGGTGTGGTATCTGGAATAATGTGGGAGGCCGGATTGAAGTCTGGGCCAGGAACAATGGTAATTGTGGGACTTAACAAAGAGTGAGTACAGCTGAAGGAGCTGAGGAGCAGAAAGTGTATGCATCAGGTGTGAGGAAGAAAATAGATTTTGGAAGTTATGAGAACTGTAGAGAGTGAGTTGAGCATAGTTTGTGATTTTGAGGGCCTCTAAAAGTATTAAAGCAGTGGCAGCCACTGCAAGCAGACATGAGGGCGAGGCTAAAACAGTAAGGTCAAGTTGTTTCGACAGAAAGCCTACAGGGTGCGGTCCTGGCTCTTGTGTAAGAATTCTGACCGCACTAACCATGCCTAGGAAGGAAAGGAGTTGTTGTTTTGTAGAAAGGATTGGGGTTTGGGAGATTAGCCGGACACGATCAGCAGGGAGAGCACGAGTGTTTTTATGAGAATTATGCCGAGATAGGTAACAGATGAGGTTGAAATTTGGGCTTGACTGAAGTAATGGGGGATGTCTGTGAAGCCTTGCAGCAGTACAGCCCAGGTAATTTGCTGAGCCTGATGGGTGTCAGGATTAGTCCAAGTGAAAGTGAAGAGAGGCTGGGATGAAGGGTGCAAAGGAATAGTAAAGAAAGCATGTTTGAGATCTAGAACAGAATAATGGGCTGTGGAGGGAGGTACTGAGGATAGGAGAGTATATGGGTTCGGCACCATGGGGTGGATAGGCAAAATAATTTGGTTGATAAGTCGCAGATCTTGAATCAGCCTGTAAGCCTTGTCTAGTTTTAGGACAGGTGAAATGGGGAAATTGTAAGGGGAGTTCATAGGTTTTAGAAGCCTATGCTGTAGCAGGCGAGTGATAACAGGCTTTAATCCTTTTAAAGTGTGCTGTGGGATGGGATATTGGCGTTGAGCGGGGTAAGGGTGATTAGGTTTTAATGGGATGGTAATGGGCATGTGATCGGTTGCCAGGGAAGGAGTAGAGATGTCCCATACTTGTGGTTAAGGTGGGGGGATACAAGAGGAAGATGCAAAGGAGGCTTTGGGTTTGGGAGAAGGCTGGCAATGAGATGCGGCTGTAGTCCAGGAATAGGGAAGCAGATAATTTAGTTAAAATGTCTTGGCCTAATAAGGGAGCTGGGCAGGTGGGGATAACTAAAAGAGAGTGCATAAAAGAATGTTGTCTAAGTTGGCACTAGAGTTGAGGAGTTTTAAGAGGTTTAGAAGCCTGGCCGTCAATACCCACAATAGTTATGGAGGCAAGGGAAACAGGCCCTTGAAAAGAAGGTAATGTGGAGTGGGTGGCCTCCGTATTAAGAAGGGGATGGACTTATCCTCTACTGCGAGAGTTACCTAGAGCATCTGTGACGGTCCTGTAGGCTTCCGAGGCGATCGGGCAGTGTCAGTCTTCAGCTGCTAAGCCGAGAAGATCTGGGAAGGAGTCAGTCAGAGAGCCTTGGGCCAGAGTTCCAGGGGCTCTGGAACTGGCTGCCAGGTTAGTTGAACAGTCTGATTTTCAGTGGGGTCCCACACAGATGGGACATGGCTTAGGAGGAATCCCGGGCTGTGGGCATTCCTTGGCCCGGTGGCCAGATTTCCGGCACATGTAGCAAGCTCCTGTGGGAGGAGGTTCTGGAGGAACGCCTGGCAGCTGCGGTTCAGGCGTTTGGAAGTTCTTGTGTGCTGGAGATGTGGCTGGGGTTTGTCTCACAGTGGAGGCAAGGAATTGCAACTTTTTTCTATTATTGTACACCTTGAAGGCAAGGTTAATTAAATCCTGTTGTGGGGTTTGAGGGCTGGAATTTAAGTTTTGGAGTTTTATTTAATGTCAGGAGCAGATTGGGTAATAAAATGCATATTGAGAATAAGACGGCCTTTTGACCTTTTAGGGTCCAGGGCTGTAAAGCGTCTCAGGGTTGCTGCCAAACGAGCCATGAACTGGGCTGGATTTTTATATTTGATGAAAAAGAGCCTAAACGCTATCAGATTTGGGATAAAGAAAAAGGAGCATTAACCTTGACTATGCCTTTAGCTCCAGCCACCTTTTTAAGAGGAAATTGCTGGGCAGGTGGGGGAGGGCTAGTCACGGAACGAAACTGTAAGCCGGACCAGGTGTGAGGAGGGGAGGCGATAAAAAGATTATAGGGTGGAGGAGCGGAGGCTGAGGAAGAATTGGGACCTAGCTCAGCCTGGTGAGGAGGGGAGAGGTCAGATGGGTCTGTAGAAAAGGAAGATTAGAAAGACTCAGCGACCCTTGGGGTTGGGACTGAGGGGACAGGCAGGAGGGAAAGAAGGAAGATTTGGGACAAGTTGCATTGGGCACAGAGACTAGGAAGGGACTGATGTGTAAAAGAATGCCTGGACATCAGGCACCTCAGACCGTTTGCCTATTTTACGACAAGAATTATGTAGATCTTGCAGGATGGAAAAATTCAAAGTGCTGTTTTCTGGCTATTTGGAACCACTGTCAAGTTTGTATTGGGGTCAAGCGGCATTGCAGAAGAAAATAAGGCATTTAGGTTTGAGGTCAGGTGTGAGTTGAAGAGGTTTTTAAGTTCTTGAGAACACAGACTAAGGGAGAAGGAGGAGGAATGGAGGGTGGAAGGTTGCCCATAGTGAAGGAGGCAAGCCCAGAGAAAAGAGAGCATAGAGACACGGAGGGAAGGGGTTTGGGGGTTCTTACCCTCCAGAAAAGTGGGAAAGGGGTTGGGGCATGGAAATAAGGGATTGGGGGTTCTTGCCCCCTAGAAAAGTGAGACTTGCCACTAAGGGTGAAGGAGAAGGGGTTGAAGGGTACTTGCCCCTCCCCCAGAAAAGCAGAGAAGGGGTAGAGACACAGAGATAAGGGGTTGGGGTACTTGCCCCTTCCCCAGAAAAGCAGGACTTGCCGCTAAGAGTGAAGCAGAAGGGGTTGGGGGTTTCTTGCCCCCCAGAAAGGCAGAGAAGGGGTAGAGACATGAGAAGGGGTTGGGGTACTTGCCCCTCCCCCAGAAAAGCGGGATTTGCTGCTAAGGGTGAAGGACCAAGTCAGGCGTCCCTGCATGGTCTGACACCTCTGAAACCTGGGTTAATAATCAGAGAGGTGTCCCTGCAATGATTAGACACCAAGGGAAGGCTGCCTTGCCAGTCCATGACCGGCGCCAGAGTTTTGGGTCCACAGATAAAACGTGTCTCCTTTGTCTCTACCAGAAAATGAAAGGAATTGAAATTAAGAAAAGGGAGAGATTGAAGAGTGGAAAGGAGAAAGTGGTTGAGGGACAATGAGAAAGGTTGGAGAAGAGAGTAAGAAGAGGTCACTTACCTGATTTAAAATTGGTGAGATGTTCCTTGGGCTGGTGGGTCTGAGGACCTGAGGTCGTAGGTGGATCTTTTTCACGGAGCAAAGAACAGGAGGACAGGGGATTGATCTCCCAAGGGAGGTCCCCTGATCCCAGTCACAGCAACATATTTCATGCGCGTCCATGTGAAGAGACCACCAAACAGGTTTTGTGTGAGCAATAAAGCTGTTTATTTCACCTGAGTGCAGGTGGGCTGAGTCCGAAAAGAAAGCGAAGGGAGTTAAGGGTGGGGCAGTTTTATAGGATTTGGGCAGGTAAAGGAAAATTACAGTCAAAAGGGGGGTTGTTCTCTGGCTGGCAGGAGTGGGGGTCATAAGGTGCTCAGTAGGGGAGCTTTTTGAGCCAGGATGAGCCAGGAAAAGGACTTTTACAAGGTAATGTCATCACTTAAGGCAAGGACCGGCCATTTTCACTTCTTTTGTGATTCTTCAGTTACTTCAGGCCATCTGGGCATATATGTGCAAGTCACCGGGGCTGCGATGGCTTAGCTTGGGCTCAGAGGCCTGACAGGAGAATCCCTCAAACCCGGGAGGCAGAGGTTGCAGCCAGCCGCGATTGTGCCATTGCCCTCCAGCGTGGGCAATAGAGTAAGATTCCATCTCAAGCAAACAACCAAATAGCAACTTGAACCAATGTGCCTCTGCACATTTCACACATGCTACAAAGGAGGGGTGTGGCATGGGACAGCATTGACCAATCCTCGGTCAGGAAGGGCTTCCAGAGCAAGTGCAGCTCTGAAAGGCAGGTTGAACACCTCTAGCAAGGTCCTGGGATCCTTTAAGTCCTGAAGGGAGGTCAGTGTAGCTGGGAGAGAGGGTAGGGGTGGCGTGGGGTTGTCAAGGAGGCACAGTTGGCCAATCTAGCCTGTGCAGACCCTCCACTGCTGAATGTATATATAATTTTTATTTTAAGAGCAATGGAAATCCATTGAACTGTTTTAAGGAGACAGAGGGAGAGAGAAACACACACACACATGCACACAGAACCTGGCCTCGGTGGGTGTAGGAGGGAGAACTGAATGATAGCTTTCAGGTCTCTGATTCACACATTTGGATGCTCAACGAGGGCACCTTCCTTTGGGAGCTTCGGCTGGTGTGGGGAACCAGGCAAGTTGGGAGCCCTGGAGATGGCGTGCCTAGTGGGGAGACGGGGGCAGGCTGGGCCTGAGATTGCGGTACGACCTGGGTCCCAGCAGCCCTTTTACTTCCTCTCAGTCTGTTGGAGCCTTGGGGCTGGAAGGGAGGGTCATTAGAATGTTCTCTGCAGAAAACTCAAAAAGCCCGCAGGAGAATGAGAGTCTGTGCTATTTCGGCATTCCCTCCCATTTCACTCACTGCCTCGAGGGAATGATAAATATGAGAAACCTGCTCAAAAAGCCTGGCTGGACCCAGGGTCTGCTTGAAGGCCTGTGCTCTGGGGCTGGAAAGGGGAGGGGGGAGGGGAGAGGGAGGAAGGAGAGATGAAGGGGTGGGGGGGAGAAGGGAGACGGAAAGGGGAGGAAAGGGAAGGAAGGGAGAGGGAACTAGGAGAGGAGAGAGGAGGAGGGGGAGGGGGGGAGGAGGGGACAGGGAGAGGTAGGGGAGGGGAAGAGGAGGCCGAGGGGGAGGGCATAAGGCCTGCCTGCAGCTGTCTGCAGAGCCCCACGCCTGCCACACGGTGAGTCACAGTGCCAGCTCCCACTGCCTGCCTCTATTTTTATATCAGCGCCTGCTCATATCTGACTCGTTAACTAAGCCTTCCAACTGGTGGAGGGGAATCTGGTGGCAGAGGATGAGGGCCGAGGGAATAATTTAGAAGTCTACATAGGAATTATAAAGCGATCCTTCTCTCTTATCAGGAGCTCTAAGCCTTTTTAATAACCAGGCGCTTTCAGCTGCTGCTCTAGAGGGCTGTGGGGAGTTGCCAGCCCTCCCAGCAGTAATCAGTGTTCTGGGAAGGAGAACAGAGTCAACAAGAACAACCGCCTGGGCTTTGGCACCAAAGGGTGGTAGCAGCTGCAGGAGGGGCTCAGGGAAGCTGTGCTAATAGGCACTTAAATGTGACACCCACATAATAAGGATCCTAAACAGATGGTGGGGGGCTGCTGCTATCATGCGGTGCGCATAATAGATGATCAGAGCAAATGACAGGCACGCCGCCTGGGGCTACCATTCTGCAGAGGGTTGATTCGAATGGGTTGACACCTGCTGGCTTAGGCAGGCATCCCTTTCCTCCCTCACTGCTCCATGTGGATCTCTCCTGAAGCTGCGTGCTGGGTGGAAGAGGAGAATCTTCTCTGATAGAGGACAACGGTTCTGTGGTCAAGTGTATACCACTCCCCTGCTAGAACCGCGGAACGAGCTCAAACCAGAAGATGAATGTTGAACATGTACATCCTGTTGCCTTCAAAATACTCAGAAGAGGGGAATTCAGGTTTTCTATTGCTAAGAGGAACTTGGGGTGAGCTGGGAGCCCTGCGGCACCCGCCTTTCTGCAATGCTCAGAGAGGGATGGGCAGCCAGAGCTGATGTGTGCCCCTGTGTGCCTGGGATGGATGCCGGCCCTGCTGTTCGCTCCCAGCTCCTGGGTTTGGTGGAGAAGAGGCATGGGCACGTCTGCTCTGCCCTCCGGAAGAATCCCCACGTTCAGAACAAGATGCCAGAGACCCAGGTTCCCAGGTCCTGCCTGCACGCCGAAGCAGAGTCCTGGCCCTGGCAAAGCTCCAAGGGCCCGATGACCATGCCTGGGGTGTTGGGGGAGGGGTGCAGGGGTGCCTGGCCATGGCACAGCCCTCTCCTTTCTGGAGGCTCCTGGGTATCAGCTGTCCTTTCCTTCCCGCACTCTGCCTGAACGTAGAAGGAAGAAGAGAGCCGCTGACAAAGGGCTTGTGCTTTCTCCCAGCCCCTTGGATAAGTAAGCACAGCTTTAAATCCAAACTTAAGAGCCAGGAGAGCGGCACTGGTGGGCATCTCCCCAGGATTCTCATGGTCTGGGGGAAAGACAAGAGCATCCAGACCCTGCCTGGGAGCTCCCCGGGCCCGCGGCCTCAGTGCACACCCTGAGCTCTCCTGCGCCCCCCTCCCCCATCCCTTGCACCACCCCCTCCTTCTCTGCACTTTGGTCCCTTCTCAGGGACGTTGTCTCTCAGTGGCTCAGGTGCCTGGCTCCAGGGAGGCCTGGGAGCTCACTCCACACCATGCTCCCACCCTTCTGATCAGGAATTCAAACTGCTTTGCCTTTCCTTCACATGCACACGGAGCTGTGTGTGTGGGGTCCACGACTCTGGGCAGAAGGTAGCCTTGAACTGCTTGGACACCCTCCCTCGGCACCAGCTTTCTCACTTGGGTCTTGTTAATCTCAGGTACTCCTTGAAAGCAGTGGCCAAGTTTCCTTCATAACGTGCCCCCTAGGAGCCCATGCAGGTCCTTACACCCAGGGACGGCTCAGAGAGGGCCTGGTGGCTGATCAGCGAGTCTCCTGGCATCTGTATCCACCCTGAACTGGGTGAAGGGAACTTTCCTCCAGGGCCAAGGATGTAATGAGCTGCCTGCTTAGGAGGAAAGCTAGACGTATTCCCATTGAGTAGATTTGAAAAACAAGGCTGATGGTGGATCATAAAGTCCTGGAGCCTGTGTCTCTAGCGTCACGGAATGTTCAGAGGGGACGTGGTGGTGGGGATGGTGGGCAAGTCTGGGGCATGGAAGCTCTCAGACTCCTTCCTGGGTGGGAGATAAAAGGGAGCATTTCCCTCTAGAACCCGTCAGTCAGAGCCAGTGTTGAGAACAGTACCCTCCGCCTTCCTTAAGCAGGTTTTTACCTTTGCCGTCCTCTAAGCGACCTCCTTGTGTTCCATTTCACAGGCTCCCCATTATCAGGCTGTATTTATTCCCCTTCCCCTCCCTACAGCTGCCTGGTCTTCCTAACTAGGCTGAAAGTGCCTGAGCTGGTTTGACTGCAGCTCCTCTGCTGGCTCCAGAGCCTGGGACAGGAAGGAGGCTGTGGAGTGGGAGAAGCCTGAGGCAGGCAGCCCAGGCGGGCCCATGGGGCTGTGCTCACTGTGACAGCTGGGCCACATGCCTGCCATTCCCTGCAGCGTGCTCATCCTCTTGATATAGGGATGCTATTGGCTGCCCAGCCAGTGAGGCCTTGGGCTCTGGGACCAGACGCCCTGCTGCTTTTAGGGCAAGGCCAGTGGGGACAGGCTAGGACAGGCGTCAGCTTTCTTTCTCTCCTTGCATGGCCAGGGCCTGCAGCCCGTTTTCTGATTTGTGTGTATTATTAGGTCCCAGGGATTCCTGCAGCCTGGGTGAGCCTCAGTGGGTGGGGCCCACCCGGATTCCCACCCCACTCTGTGGAGGAACTGTATCCGGAATCTGAGCTCTGTCCAGGGTCCTCAGCCCGGCTGAGAGAGACCTGGCCCACTGCCTGCTTCCAGGCAGAATGAAGAAGGTGCCATTTCTCATCCCCACTGTCCATGAGGCCACATGAGGCCTGCCTTGCTTAGATGTCCCTCCGGCACCCTGCACCTGATGGCTTCTTTCTGTTCCCTAGATTATCCTAGCTCACGGCTGACAAGGGCCTAACAGCCTCCTCCTCTTGGTAACATACGAGCAAGTTTACCAGGGTGGATAATATCGTGACTCAATGGGACCTACTGCTCCTGGAGGGGTGGGTGGGGTCCCATCCAGGGCAGGGCCCACCTTGCCCCACAGGCAGGGCCCTGTTAGGCTAAGCTTCGGGCTGGGAGAAAAGCGAACTCTTCTGCCCTTTCCGACGCCTAAGGACCATCGACTGGAGGGAGAGGGGCCCTGCGTTTTTGCACGGGGGATATGGGCAGAGGCCGGCGTATTTAGGAAAGTGAACCCCCTTCATTGACTGCGTTTAGCCAGGGGAAGCCAGCCCCTGCCCAGGCCCATCCCAGGGTCGCAGAGGTAACGCTAAACAGGGCGCCTTGGAGCTGACCGCGTGGGGCGGGTTCGCGCTGCCTCGGCGTCGCCCGCCTCTGAGCGTGTGGGTGGGGGTGCTTAGGGCCCTGGCCAGGCTTAGGAAGCAGATCTGGCTGGATCTGATAGCTCTTACCTTGGTTTGAACGTTTGTGCGAAGAGCTGATTGCCCTGGAGGCGAATTCCCGAGAAGCCGCGGGAGAGCCGCGTGAGTGTGCCCAGCTGGGGCGTCCGAGGGCGAATCCGGCTAGGGTGCCTTTCCTGCGGCGCGGAGCCTCAGCAGCACAACCCGCGTGGGGCCGCGATCGCCCTCCTTCCCTCCCTCCACAGACTGCTTTCCCCAAAGCAGGCACCCCTCAGGCCAGCCTCATCTGCGTGCCCTCACCACCCTGGGGTGTCACCTCCCCGCGGTAACCCCTCCGCCGTGCACGCCAGACGCTCAGTCCGCGGGGTGCTCGGGGCAGGGCCTGCTCCCCCTCCCCACCTCGCTCCCTCCCGGGACAGCCCCTCGGGGACCAGAGCTCCCTCTCGTGTCTTATCTGCCACATCTGTAAAGCAAGGGGCACGTTAATCGCTTCCAGGGTCTCTCTTTCTCCCCCCAGTCCTGAGCTCCTGCCTCAGTTGCCGCTCCGTAGCTCCGGAACACGCAGGCCCCCGAATGCCAACTTTGACGGGGGCGGCCTTCAAATCCCAGAGGACGCGCTCGCTCTGCGTCCCCGACTGGCGGCGCGGTGCCTGCCTCGCCTATGCAGCAGAGTTAACTCGGGGCCTTTTTGGGTGCAGGAGCTGTTCACGTCGTATTTTGCCGGTTGAGGAACTCCAGACCCAGGCCACGTCTCTTCACTGTGGGGAAAAAAAGCCACTTGTGAAAAACTTATCCCCCGTGGCATGGACTGCGTAGGAGACAGTGAATGAAACAAGCGACCAACCTCAGCATGAACTAAACCGAGAGACCAGGGCGGGAGGGGAGGGGAGAGGGGGAGAGTGGTCAGAGGCCGGGCTCTCTGTCTGGTGGAGACTGCCCAACCGCTGCTTCTGAAACAGCAGAGACATCTGATACACACAGAGGTCTTTTGTGAATGGCCTTTGTTTGTCTTTTGGGGGCTGTGTGGAGGGCACGACACTTTTTTTGATGGCAATCAGAGCAGGGGCTGAGACCAACCTTGGTTGATATGGTGCCGACCACAGGCTACAAACATGAGCTGAGAGGTAGGATAGTAAGTGGAGGAGAATGTCCCGCTGAGCCAGACAGCAGCAGAGGGGTTACATGGGATAACAAGACCACAATGAGGAGTTAACATTTGTGCTGCACTTAGAATAGTGCCTTGAGCAGGTGAAGTTCTATATGTGTGTTCATTGAATGCATTTTTAAAAGGATACATTTTTTTAAAACCTCAATTAGAGCTCAAGCTTTTATTCAAATAAACTTTTATTTTGGGCAAATTTGAGATTTGCAGAAAAATTTGAAGTTGCTCTGGTGGGACATAGGTTTCCATATATCCTGTACCCAGTTCCCCCTATTGTTAACACTGTACATTACCTTGGTACAACCATCACACTAAAGAATCAGTTATGGCAAATTCCATTTTTTTTTTTTTTGAGATGGAGTCTTGCTCTGTCGCCCAGGGTGGAGTGCAGTGGCACAATCTAGGCTCACTGCAACTTCCACCTCCTGGATTCAAGAGATTCTCCTGTCTCAGCCTCCCAGGTAGCTGGGATTACAGCCATGCACCACCACGCCCGGCTAATTTTTGTATTTTTTAGTAGAGATGGGGCTTCACCATGTTGGCCAGGCTGGTCTCGAACTCTGGACCTCAAGTGATCCACCTGCCTCGGCCTCCCAAAGTGGTGAGATTACAGGCATGAGCCACCACGCCCGGCCTATTTTTGAATTGTAAAAAAATTATTTGTAGAGAGAGGGGTCTTGCTTTGTTGTCCAGGTTGGTCTATGAACTCCCGGCTTCAGCGGATCCTCCCACCTTGGCCTCTGAAAGTGCTGGGATTACAGGTGTGAGCCACCATGCCTGGTACATTCACATTACTTAAACTCCAGGTTTTACTTGGATTTTACCTGTTTTCCCATAGAATGCCCTCTTTCTCTTCCAGGATCCCATTGAGGATGCCACGTTATACATAGCCATCATGTTTTCTTATTCTCCTCTGGTCTGTAATAGATTCTCAGTCTTTCCTTGTTTTTCGTGACCTTGACAGTTTTGAGGAGTCTGGTAATACTCCTTTGTAGATGGAGATTTGTAGAATGTCCTCAATGTGGATTTTCTCTGATGTTTCTCTCATGATTAGCCTGGGGTTGTGGGTGTTTGGAAAGAACACTAAAGAGGTGGAGTGCCAGCCGGGTGTGATGGCTCATGCCTGTAATTTCATCACTTTGGGAGGCTGAGGCAGGTGGATCATGAGGTCAGGAGTTTGAGACCAGCCTGGCCAACATAGTGAAACCCTGTCTCTACTAAAAATGCAAAAAATTAGCTGGGTGTGGTGTGGTGGGGTGCGTGTAATCCCAGCTACTTGGGAGGCTGAGGCAGGAGAATTGCTAGAACCCGGGAGGCAGAGGTTGCAGTCAGCTGAGATTGCACCACTGCACTCCAGCCTGGGTGACAGTGTGAAACTCCATCTCAAAAAAAAAAAAAAAAAAAAAAGGTGGAATGCCCTTCTCACGGCATCCTAGCAGCGGGTACATGGCACGCCATCTCTGGTAATGTTCACACTAATCATTTGGTTAAGGTGGTGTCCGCCAGATCTCTCTACTCTTAAGTCACTGTTTTTCGCTTTTTCTACAACATTCTTTGGAGCCCAGGCTTGTTGTGGGTGGGGAGATTAAACTCCACCTCCTGGATGGGGATGCATCTAATATATTGTTTGGAATCCTTTGTAGGGAGGAGCCACCCTTTCTCACTATTCAATCATAATTTACATCAGTATGAAAGTACATATATTTATTTTGTACCTTGGGTTATAATCCGATTATTTGTTCTTTATTTTGTTGCTTAAATGGTTCCAGCTTTGCCCATCTGAAGCTCTTTTGGGTTGGCTCCTGTGTTCTTTTGACATGCCATAATACTTCTGTTTATCCAGCACTTCCTTACTTTCTGTTAAGGGTGTTGCTCAGGCCGGGCGCGGTGGCTCACGCCTGTAATCCCAGCACTTTGGGAGGCCCAGGTGGGCGAATCACGAGGTCAGGAGATCGAGACCATCCTGGCTAACACGGTGAAACCCCATCTCTACTAAAAAAATACAAAAAATTAGCCGGGCATGGTGGTGGCCGCCTTTAGTCCCAGCTACTTGGGAGGCTGAGGCAGGAGAATGGTGTGAACCCGGGAGGCGGAGCTTGCAGTGAACCAAGATCGCACCACTGCACTCCAGCCTGGGCGACAGAGCGAGACTCCGTCTCAAAAAAAAAAAAAAAAAAAAGAAGGGCATTGCTCTGTCTCTCAGGCCGGAGTGCCATGGTATGATCTTGGCTCACTGCAGCCTCAACTGTTAGAGCTCAAGCAATCCTCCCACCCCAGCCTCCTGAGTATCTGGGACCATAGGTGTGCACCACCACACCCAGCTAACTTTTTAAAAATTATTATTTGTAGAGATGAGCTCTCCTTATGTTGCCCAGGCTGGTCTTGAACTCCTGGACTCAAGCAGTCATCCCACCTCGGCTTCCCAAAGTGCTGGGATTACAGGCATGAGCCACCACACCTGGCTGCTTATCCAATTTCTATCTCAAGAGGACATATGTATTTTTACTTTTGTATCTATCTCAAGAGGACTCTATTTTTACTTTTCACCCAGTTGCCTGCCATCATATAGCTACCAATGGAGTCAGACTCAAATGGCCCATCCCCACAAAATAGCCCCTCATTCCAGAGCCAGCTCTCATAAGGATGGGAAGGAGTCCTGTCCTCATGGTCTGGCCTTTGTCTTCTGGGCATCCTTTCTCTGGTCTCTGGGTGCCACCCTTCCCCCTTACTATGCTGGTAGCTCCTTGGTCACTTTAGAGCTGATGCCGGCACCTCCTGCTGGATGGGGTGTCCTTGCTCAGAAACCTCTAGGTGCCCTGGCTGGATCATTAGCGTCCACAGGTTCCCCTTTCCCGAGGGGCAGGTGTGCCCACAGGTGCTGCTTTGGCCACAAGGACCATGAGAAACCTGGTCTTTGCTCCTGCAGGAAAAGGTCATTCTAGTGTTCCTCCTTCGCAGCACAATCTCTTCCCACCACCAGGGGCTATTGGCTTCCTGGTCCTGCAGTCCGAAAGTGGCCCTCAATTTAGTGTCATGGCCTGAGCTCTGCCTCCGCCTTTGGGGCTGATGGTAGTGACTGGCCACCGTCCCCCACAGCCTGTTGTAGAGGACTTTGTGGTGAGGGTGGGAGCAGGCCCCGGCTCCCTTCCACTTGTCCCTCCTCTGCACCGGGGCAAAAGGGCTGTGTCACTGGATCTTTAGATCTCGCTCACTCTGCAAGTCAAGGACACAGAAGACACATCCAAGGGACATACAGGGCTCATAGATCCCAGACGCTTCTGGATTAAAGGAGAAAGAATCTTGGCTGAAAACACCCTGGAGGATGAAGCATGAAGGGTCTTATTGAGGAGAGGCTGTGTGGAGAAGGTGTCCTCACTCTTCCTTCTGCTCAAGACCTTACCAGGTGGGGCCATGCTGAGGGCACGTGGGGTGAGGTGCTTAATATGTGCTCCATCCTGGTATGTAAATCTGAGGCAGGTAAGTCAAGGAGATAGGCTCTAATTGTGCACCCACTGTGTACCCAGCACTCTGCTGGCCACTGGGGGAAATAACAGGGCAAGGGGAGACCTTTCTCCTGTCCCGATGAGCTCATGGTCTTAAGGAAAAGGTAGGATGTGCAGGGACCACCCTGGGAGCATGGGTCCCGGTCATGCAGTTCAGACGTTCAGGGCCCGTGTGACCTCTGTGGGCTGGCACCTCTTGACAAAGGCTTCCCATAGGCTGGGGATGGGGAGGGTGGAGAGAGCGGGTGGTGTGTGGTGTTTAGGAGCAGACTCTGAGTCTGATGGTTACTGAATCTCAGTGATCTCTATCCAGATGTGTGTTCTTGGGGGATCCACCTTGCTCCTCCAAGCCTCCACTTCCTTGTGTATAAAAACAAGAGAAATAGTTGCAAGATTACTGTGAGGATAAAGGTGATGTTGTCTATATAATGCTCAGCTGGGTGTGTGGTGCACAGCAGCCATTCAGTTACTGGTAGTAGCTGTCATTGTTATTTAGAAAGGAAGGGCCTTTCTAAAAGGGTGTCGAGGCTCACACCTGTATTCTCAGCACTTTGGGAGGCCAAAATGAGAGGATTGCTTGAGCCCAGGAGTTCGAGACCAGCCTGGGCAACATAGCTAGACCACCCCCCCCATCTCTACAAAAAATTAAAAAATTGGTGGAGCATGGTGGCACGTGCCTGTAGTCCCAGCTACTCAGGAGGCTGAAGTGGGAGGATCACTTGAGCCCAAGAGTTCAAGGCTGCAGTGAGTTATGATTGCACCACTGCACTCCAGCCTGGGCAATAGAATGAAACCCTGTACAAAAAAAAAAAACCCTAAATAAATAAAAAGGAAGGCCAAGTCCAAGGCCACCTGCTCCGTCTACTCTCATCCCCCACAATCTCGATGCTGCATCTTCCATGGTGCTCCTGGAAGAACAGGACCACAACCCTGTTCCCTCCTGTACTTGCCTCAGATTGGAGCAGGCACAGTGGTCTCCTCACCTGTTCCTCTGGAAGCACAAAAGGCTACAGTTGAATGGTAGACACAATAATGACCCCCAAAGATGTCTGTGTCCTAATCCCTGGAACCTGTGAACTTGTTATCTTCATATGGCAAAAAGGACTGGTAAGGACCTCTGTAGTTGGGAGAACATCCTGTATTTTCTGAATGGGCTCAATTTAATCACAAGCATCCTTATGAGAGGGAGGCAGGAGGGTCAGTCAGAGAAAGAGGTGGGACAATAGACACAGCGTTGGAGGGGCAATGGCAGAAGGAGACCATGAGCTCAGGAGTGAAGGTGGCCTCACTCCTGGGCTCATGGATTCTCCCCTAGAACACAGCCTTGTCAACGCCTTGATTTGAGACCCATTTCAAACTTGTGACCTCTAAAAGTATAATACATTTGTATTTTGGAAGCCACTAAGTTTGTGGTAATTTGTTACTGCAGCAATAGAAAACGAATACAAGTGTGTTATGAAAAATGACCCTTTCCTGGGCTGATTTGCCTCTTCTTGGGATGAGCCAAACCTAAATAGAGACCATGTTGCAAAGGGGCATGTTTTTCTTTGGGATCCATATTACAAACTTGTTACCCTGGGGTAATTAACGTTGACGCTTTCATTTCCACCACTTCCACATCAAAAGCAAATTTGTTACATGCATCAATCCTACTTGGATGGAGGCAAACTCGGTTTCCCTTCTTTGGAGTTCTTGCCAACTCTCCTTGGAAGGCAGTAATGATCTGCCTTTGCTATTTAGAGCATCTTCATTTCCTGAATATCAAGATGACAACAATATCCTATAGATATGTCCTCTGCAACCTGAAGATTTATTTTCACATGTTGCTTTTTCTTTCCAAATAACAAAGTGTCTCCAAGGGAAAGGCAGCTTCCTGGAGCTGGGCATGCGGGATGGTGGAGTTGGTGTGTGTGTGCGCGTGCCTGTGAGTGTGGGGGCTCCATGTGTTCTCAGCCTCTCCAGAAATAGATGGGCTGAGCTTTCAGTGAGTTTGAGGATGCCTTGAAAAAACAAAACAAAACAAAAAAAACCCTGCTCTATTCTTTGGCATTGTAGCTGGTTTAAGATTAAACCAGAAATATGTCCCTTGATGTAAGGTTCCTCTGCCAGCCAGTAGGACTCTCCACAAATAGGAGTCCTTGGTTATCTCACAGACGTGGCCAGTGAAAAAACTGGCAGAACCTCGGTCCTTCATCTGGAGCTCATGAAGCCACATTGGAATGGCACACGGGAGTTTATGTAGCAGTACTTGCACATGTATAATCTCAAACCTATGAGGTAGATGTTATTATTCCCTTTTACAAAGAATAATTACTCTTGTTTTCCTTGTTTTTTTGAGACAGGTTCTCGCTCTCTCTCCCAGGCTAGAGTGCAGTGGTGTGATCATAGCTCACTGCAGCCTCAAATCCCTGGGCTTGACCGATCCTCTCATCTCAGCCTCCTGAGTAGCTAAGACTACAGGAACACACTACCACTCCCACCTAGTTTAAAAGTTGTTATTTTTAGTAGACACAAGATCTTGCTATGTTGCCCAGGCTGGTCTTGAACTCCTGGGCTCAAGCGATCCTCCCACCTCAGCCTCCCAAAGTGCTGAGATTACAGGCATGAGCCACTGTGTGGCTTTTTTCCTTTTTCTTTTTTGAGAGCTTGAGATTCGGCAGGGCCTGTGTTAGGCTCCTTCCTTAGTTACTTAGTACAAGTACCTTACGTACTTAGTACAAGTTGAGCATCCTTAATCTGAAAATCCAATATCTGAATGCTCCTAAATCCAAAACTTTTTAAGCACTGACATAATGCCACAAGTAGAAAATTCCATGCCTGGTCTGGCATGGTGGTTCATGCCTGTAATCCCAGCACTTTGGGAGGCTGAGGCAGGCGGATCGCCTGAAGTCAGGAGTTCAAGACCAGCCTGTCCAACATGACGAAACCCTGTCCCTACTAAAAATACAAAAAATAGCTGGGTGTGGTGGCACACACTTGTAATACCAGCCACTCGGGAAGTTGAGGCAGGAAAATCCCTTGAACCTGGGCGGTGGAGGTTGCAATGATTGTGCCACTGCACTCCAACCTAAGTGACAGTGAGACTCCGTCTCAAAAAAAAAAAAAAAAAGGAAAATTTCCACACCTGACCTCTGACCTCATGTGATAGGTCACAGTCAAAATGCAGTTGCACTACACACAGTTTATTTAGCATCTCCGATGGGGAAAAGGCCCTCCCAGCCCCCTTCAGCTGCAATATATCTTTTCCACACATGCCCAGATTCTCCCATGCAAGCATGCCCACAAAGAGTAATGAAATAAAAACTTTGGTTCATGCACAAAATTATCTAAAATATTGTATACAATTACCCTGAGCCTATGTGTATAAGATGTATATGAAACAAAAATGAATTTCGTGTTTAGAGATGGGTCCCATCCTCAAGAGATCTCATTATATAATATATGCAAATATTTTAAAGTTCAAAAAATTCTGGCTGGGCACAGTGGCTCACACCTGTAATCCCAGTGCTTTGGGAGGTTGAGCTGGGCAGATTGCTTGAGCCCAAGAGTTTGAGGCTGCAGTAATCTATGATGGCATCACTGTACTCCAGCTTAGGTGACAGAGCTAGACCCTGTCTCAAAAGAAAAAAAAAAATCCCAAATCCAAAACACCTCTGGTACCAAGTATTTCAGATGACGAATACCCAGCCTGTATAGTGTTTGGGAGGCCAAATGTGGGAGCCAAACTGCCTGGGTTTGAGTCCTGGCTCCCCCTCTTATCAGCTGCATGGCTTTGCTCAAACTTCGTCACCTCTCAGTGCCTTCGTTCCCTCCTCTGTTAGGTATCCTGGAGATGGCTGTGAGGATGATGTGAGATGATATTTGTAGGGTGCTCAGAATGGTGCCAGGCATGTAAGAGGAGCACACTGCATCCTTTCAAGACAGGTATTTGTAGCTGGTGCTCAGGTTCCAGTTGGACTGAACTCACGTCTGAGTCTTGCTGGCCTCTCCAAGAAAGAATTCTTTCTCCCCATCAGAGAGAGAGTTTTCTCCTGTGTTACGTTGTTTGGCTGTGAGGCAGTAACTCTAATTGGATTAGTCTGAGTCTTGTATAATCTGTGATGATCAGCTGATTTTCAACAAGGGCACCAAGACAATTCAATGAGAAAAAAGAATAGTGCAACTCCTTTGGAAAACAGTTTGCAGTTACCCCAAAATTAAATATAAACTCATCATAGGACCTAGAAATTCCACTCTTAGGTATATGCCCCAAAGAACGGAAAGCAGGGACTCGAACAGATGTTTGTACACCCGTGTTCATACCAGCACTATTCACAATAGCCAGAAGGTGGAAACAACACAATTGTCCCCACCAGATGAATGGATGGACAAAATGTGGTCTATCCATACAATGGAATATTATTTAGCCATAAAAAGAATGAAGCGCTGATACACGCTGTAACATGGATGAGTCTCGAAAACATCAGGCTAAGCGAAAAGCCAGACATGAAAGGCCACATATTGTAGGAGTCCATTTGTTTGGGATGTCCAGAACAGGTACATCCCCGCAGATCGCAGACAGGCAGCTGCTCAGAGCCCAGGGGAGGAGAGGAATGGGGAAGAACTGTCTAGTGGAGGTAGGGTTCATTTGGGGTGGATGAAAATGTTTTGGAACCAGGGGAGATGGTGGCTGCAAAACACTGTGAATGTTCTAAATGCCACTGAGTAGATTGTTCACTCTAAAATGGTAAATCTTATCTTAATTTCATCTCAATAAAAAATTAAGGCGGGAGAATCACTTGAACCTGGGAGGCAGAGGTTGCAGTGAGCAGAGATTGCGCCATTGCACTCCAGCCTGGGCAACAGAGCGAGACTCTATCTTAAAAAAATAAATAAATAAGACAATGATTACTCATGTGAGGATATGATGATGGAAAGAGGACAGTGAAGGACTTCTGGGTTGCCAGTTATGTTCTGTTTCTTAATTAGGGTGTGGAATATACCAGTGCATTCACCGTGTGTGAAAATTCATCAAGCTATGCACATGATCTGATGCTTTGCTGAATGTATATTATACATCTATAAAAAAGTTAACATGGAAAAAAAAGTGCCCAAGACAGTGCCTGGAGCATATGAGGGCTCCACAACTCTTCCTCTCCACCTCTGCCCCCCAGCTCCCTTGCCAGTCCTCCTCCCTCACCTATCTCTCTTCCTGTTTTCTTTCAGAAGTGCAGTTTGGAGAGGAAAGAAGCCGTATCTCAGTCCTTTCACCAATAGCTGATGTAATCTCAAGAGAGTTGCATTTCCCACAGTGGAGACTTCACACATCACAGCTAAATCCTCCAAGACGACTCGGCTGTGGAATCCTAATGAAGAATGCAATAGGTAATCTACTGAGGGAGGAGTTTACAAGACTCCAGATAGCAAGAAAAATGGGCGTGAGTGTTTAATATTTGAAAGGTTCTTTCTGCCCTCAATTATTAAACACCACGCTAACTGGTACAAAATATTCTCTTAAATCATTTTCATGAAAGTTTCAAAAGAATTTTCTTCTATATCAGGTTGCTTATGAGCAGGAGCTCATGCAATTCCTCTCCAGAGGTGGAAGGCCGAGAACCCTGCTTGGGCCGTGGTGGGTGGCGTGAGGAGCTCACAGCGGAGCCTTAGGAGGCCATTCTGTGTGGATTTGTATCACCGCCCTTTTCATCAATGACTCCAAGAAGGAGCTGCAAGTACCACAGGCTTCCAGATCTTCAGGTGTGGCCTGGGACAGTGTGCGTGCCTGTATTCTCAGCTACTCGGGAGGCTGAGGAGGGAGGATCACTTTGAGGCCAGGAGTTTGAGGCTGCAGTAAGCTAGTGTCACACCACTGCATTCTAGCCTGGGTGACAGAGACCTCATCTCTAAAACAAACAAACAAATAAAACAGCTGTGGAGGACGCACCTGCTGGTAGCTCCCTGTTTACCATATTCTGCCCACTGGGGTCTCTTTCAGACCCTCAAGCAATCTCTTTCCTGCCCTGAGGCCTTTGCACAGCTGCTCCCTCTGCCCGTGAGTCCCAACCTTCCTCCTGTCTGGGCATTCTTCCCACCCTTCAGAGATCAGCTGAAGCATCTCCTGGCAGAGAAGCTGTTTTAAGGGGACCAAGGATTTGTTTCCTCAGGTCTGGTGAGACTCATGAGCATGGGACTGACTGTCATGAAGGAGGAAGTTTATATGCGCAGGTCCCTAGAAACAGGAGGCCCGGCACGCCACTCAGAGCCGCACGGGGAGGCGCCACGTGGGTCAGGAGGCAGAGGGGGAGTGAGGGAGCGGTGGGCAAGAGCCTTTGCTGTGATTTCCGTGGGAAGGAAGGAGTGGGGCAGGGTAAGTGGGCTGAGGATGGGCTAGTTTGGATCATCTAAAGGCTGTAGGGCACAGGGACTCTCCCTAGTTGTCTGGTACCTGGGGTGATTAGGGCAGGAGAGAGTGGTCCAGAATATGACAGCACCATACAGGAGGTGGTTGGGGTGTTGGCTCTGGATGGGTTGGTTTGCATTTGAAAGGCTTGTTCACTTGCAGGCGAATTGTTTACTCTCTCTAGGAATTGACTCACCCTGGGAGGGGTAGTCCCTCCAGGATCAGCAAGACCCCAGAGCAAATGCATCAGAAGTATCACAAATAAAGGGCGTGCTTAGTCCAGAGACCTTCCCATAAGCACTCCATGTCTCTATAATGTTTATCATATTTCCTCTCTCTCCTCTAGTTTTGTCAGTTTCCTACACTAGAACACAAGGTCTGGGGGAAGGGGCCACATGTGTGTTTACTAATGCATTCTGTGTCTAACTGCTGTCTGGAACTTAGTAGATGCCATTTTTTCTTTTTTTTCTGTGAGATGGAGTCTCACTCTGTGGCCCAGGCTGGAGCGCAGTGGCGCGATCTCAGCTCACTGCAAGCTCCGTCTCCTGGGTTCACGCCATTCTCCTGCCTCAGCCTCCTGAGTAGCTGGGGCTACAGGTGCCCGCCACCGCACCCGGCTAATTTTTTGTATTTTTAGTAGAGATGGGGTTTCACCGTGTTAGCCAGGATGGTCTCCAACTCCTGACCTCGTGATCCGCCCACCTTGGCCTCCCAAAGTGCTGGGATTACAGGCGTGAGCCACCGCGCCCGGCCTTCCAAAATTTTTTTTTTAGAGACGAGGTCTTGTTTTATTGCTCAACTTAGTAGACAAGGCTGGAGTGCAGTGGCCATGCACAGATAGGAAAACTGCATGCCACACCCTCAAACTCCTGGTCTCAAGTGATCCTCCCACCTCAGCCTCTGAGAAGGTGGGACTGCAGGCATGCACCATGGCACCCAGCTCTCCTCTTCTCTTTTCAAATTGGCTTTTTTTTGGGAGTGGGGCCCCGAAAGTAGCAATAGAGAGTGGGAAGGTGACACTATTACCAAAAAGGTGTGTTAGATGCGTCATCTCCAGCTGAATTTTTTCTAAACCAGGTCTCTACTGGAAAATAATACTTGTTCTAATTCCTGTAGAATTAACTCCCTGACCACATACTTCTCCAAAGTAGCCTAATGTGCGGCTGGCATTTTCCCAAACATAGATTAACTCCCTTTGGCTGTGGAGCCAAGCAAGTGACTTCCTGGACCAGAAGAAAACGAAGACTCAGGGAAGGTGGGCTGCCAGCCCCCAGCTGCAGAAAAAGTGTAGAAAAGAGTCAATCAGTAAAACAAAAAGGGGGCGGACATGGGAGGGGTGTGAAGGGGCCAACCTGTCCCAACACTGGTTATTATCATTGTTTTGACCTTTAGGAATCCGATGTGTGAAAGAAATGTAATTGTTGACTTCACTTGTATTTTCTTTGTTTACTAGTGAAGTTGAACTTTACTTTTTCTTTTTTCTTTATTTTATTTTTTTGAGATGGTGTCTCCCTCTTGTCGCCCAGGCTGGAGTGCAATGGCAAGATCTCAGCTTGCACTCCAAGCTGAGTGCACTTATTGCAAGCTCTGTTGCAAGCACTTGTTGCAAGCTCTGCCTCCCGGGTTCAAGCGATTCTCCTGCCTCAGCCTCCTGAGTAGCTGGGATTACAGGCTCCTGCCACCAGGCCTGGCTAATTTTTGTACTTTTTAGTAGAGATGGGGTTTCGCCTTGTTGGCCAGGTTGATCTTGAACTCCTGGCCCCAGGTGATTCACCCGCCTCGGACTCCCAAAGCACTGGGATTACAGGCATGAGCCACCATGCCCAGCCTATTTTATTGTATTTTTTAAGTTCTGGGATACATGTGCAGAATGTGCAGGTTTGTTACATAGATATACATGTGCCATGGTGGTTTGCTGGACCCATCAACCTGTTGTTTAGGTTTTAAGTCCCACATGCATTAGGTTTTTGTCCTAATGCTCTCCCTCCCCTTGCCTCCCATCCCCGGACAGGCCCCGGTGTATGATGTTTTCCTCCCTGTGTCCATGTGTTCTCATTGTTCAACTCCCACTTATGAGTGAGAACATGAAGTGTTTGACTTTCTGTTCCATGTTAGTTCGCTGAGAATGATGGTTTCCAGCTTCATCCATGTCCCTGCGAAGGACATGATCTCATTCTTTTTTATGGCTGCATAGTATTCCATGGTGTATATGTGCCACATTTTCTTTATCCAGTCTATCATTGATGGGCATTTGGGTTGGTTCCAAGTCTTTGCTATTGTAAATAGTGCTGCAATAAACATACGTGTGCATGTGTCTTTATAGTAGAATGCTTTATAATACTTTGGGTATATACCCAGTAATGGGATTGCTGGGTCAGAACTTTATTTTTTGTTGAGTGTGTGTGAAAGATGCTTATTGGCCAGATTTTTTCTCTGGTGACTTGCCTGTTTGTATCCTTTCCCCATTTGTTGAAGGGAGCGTCCATTTTCCTTATTAGTTTGTAAGGACTATTTACATTCTAATTTCCAGGCTGGTCTGCATGTTGTACATCACTTTTTCTGGTTCATCAGTGCCAGGCAACTTCTTTCTGAATGGCCACGTTGAGGTGGATGTGCAGTTATTTACACACTATCAGTCAGCGTAGGTGTGCATTTCTATGGTTGGAGCCAATTTTTGGATTGCATGCTGGCAAGGAAAACTCTTGTCACTAGGGATGATAAATTTGCTTCCCTCAAGTGTCTTTGAATGAATGGGGCTGAGAGTACTTTATGGGCTTTACCAGCTCTTAAGACACCCTTGCTTGTTGGGTGTGAAGAGAAATATTGGGTAGTTCAAAGCCCTGGGTGACAGGGAGAATAATGATGAGGGCTTAGACTGGGAGGCAGAAGCTTCCTAACTTGCAGTGAGATCCCGGTAAGAAACGGAATTTCTCCAGGGCTCATCTAAAAAGTAAGGCAGTGACATTTAGGGGGTTGGACTGGGGGTCTGCAGCGGTTCCCTTGGGGAGACCAGTGAGTGTGGAGAGCAGATGTGAAAGGGAACTTGTACTGTTTCCTTTCTATACTTCTGTTCCACTTGGGTTTTATTTTATTTTTTATTTATTTATTTTTTTTAAATTGAGTCTCACTCTTGCTGCTCACTGCAACCTCTGCCTCCTGGGTTCAAACAATTCTCCTGCCTTAGCCTCCCAAGTAGCTGGGACTACAGGTTTGTGCCACCATGCCTGGCTAATTTTTTTTTTGTATTTTTAGTAGTGACAGGGTTTCATCATATTGGCCAGGCTGGTCTCGAACTCCTGACCTCAGGTGATCCGCTCCTCTCAGCCTCCCAAAGTACTGGGATTACAGATGTGAGCCGCTGCACCTGGCCCTTGAGTTTTATTTTTATTTATTTATTTTTGAGACAGTGTCTCACTCTGCCTCTCAGACTGGAATGCAGTGATAAGATCATTCCTCACTGCAACCTCAAACTCCTGGGCTCAAGCGATTCTCCCACTTCAGCTTCCTGAGTAGCTGGGATTACAGGTGTGCACCACTGCACCTGGCTAATTTTTTAAATTCTTGATTCTTGTAGAGATGAGGTCCAGCTATGTTACTCAGGCTGGTGGTCTCGAACTCCTGGCTTCAAGCTATCCTCCCGTGGCCTCCCAAAGTGCTGAGATTGTAAGTGTGAGCCACCATAGCTGGCCCAGTTGAGTTTTTATCACCTGCATGTATTTGTGAGTTTTCTTAATATTGTATTATGAAACATTTCAAGCAGACAGAAATGTTGCAAGGATTGTACACAAACATCCTACACTCAGCATCTATAGTCGACTGCTGATATTTGGCCACACTTGCTTTATCACCTATTTATCCACCTGCCAGCCCTCTATCCACGGATATTTAGATGCATTTTAAGGTAAGTTGCAGGTATGTAACTTGTCCAGATATTTTTGGAATTAGTTCCTCAGTCTGTTCATAAAGAGAACTGTTTAAATGAAATGATCCTTAAAGTTACGTCTGACTTCAAAGATGACAAACACGGCACTCTTTCAAGGAAAAGATTTCAGACCCCTCACCCCCCAACAACCGAGGAAGGTATTTTTTCTTAATTTCTTTTTTATTCCTTATAATTTTTAAAAAAATGACAGAAAAAAGCCGGGCGCAGTGGCTCACGCCTGTAATCCCAGTACTTTGGGAGGCTGAGGTGGGCAGATCACCTGAGGTCAGGAGTTCGACACCAGTCTGACCAACATGGTGAAACCCTGTCTCTACTAAAAATACAAAAATTAGCCAGGTGTGGTGGCACACACCTATAATCCCAACTACTTGGGAGGCTGAGGCAGGAGAATTGTTTGAACCTGGGAGGCAGAGGTTGCAGTGAGCCGAGATTGCACCATTGCACTCCAGCCTGGGCGACAAAAGCAAAGCTCCGTTTCAAAAAAAAAAAAAAAAAAAAAAAATGACAGAAAAGAAATAAGGGAAGCAGGAAAGGGAAGGAGGTAGAGAGAGACAGGTAGGGGGAAGGAAGGGAGAGAGAGAGAATCACAAAGTCCTCCTAATTTATTTGATATAAGTAATGTGTGTTTTTGTTGAAAAATGAGAAAATAGAGGCAAAAAGAAAAACAATGGAAATCACTCAGAGATCCAATTTTGCTGTGTTTAAATGCAGATTTTTTCCAGTGCAAGTAAATATGAATAATTAAACAAATGGTATCATACTTCTGTAACCTTACCCAAAATAAATGATGAGATTGTGGATATCTTTATATGTGGCTAGAGACATACTGTATGTGAATCTGATTTCTTTCTTTCTTTTTTTTTTTTTTTGAGATGGAGTTTTGCTCTTGTTGCCTAGGCTGGAGTGCAATGGTGCGATCTCGGCTCACTGCAACCTCCGCCTCCCAGGTTCAAGCAATTCTCCTGCCTCAGCCTCCCGAGTAGCTGGGATTACAGGCATGCACCACCATGCCCGACTAATTTTGTATTTTTAGTAGAGATGGAGTTTCTCCATGTTGAGGCTGGTCTCGAACTCCTGACCTCAGGTGATCCGCCCGCCTCAGCCTCCCAAAGTGCTGGGATTACAGGCGTGAGCCACCGCACCCAATAGAGAACCTGATTTCTTATGGCAACCTATTCAGCTAAGTACTCTTATCATCATCCCTGTGTGATACACGAAGAGGCTGAGGCTAAGAGAGGTTAAGAAACTTGTCCAACATCACCCAGCAAGTAAGTGGCAGAGCTGGGGCTTGAATTCAACTCTGGCTTAATACAAAGCACATAAGTTTAAGTTATATTTATTTCCAACCAAAAAGAAGTTGTCATTTCTGTACTTGTACTAAGAACTAGTTGGGCGCAGTGGCTCACACCTGTAACCTCAGCACTTTGGGAGACAAAAGAAGAAGATGATCACTTGAGCCCAGGAGTCCGAGACCAGCCTGGGAAGTAAGACCCCTTCTCTACAAAAGAAAAAAAACACAGCTGAGCATAGTGGCAGGCACCTGTGGTCCTGGGTACTTGGAAGGCTGAGGTGGGAGGATTGCCTGTTCCCAGGAGGTTGAGGCTGCAGTGAGCCATGATGGCGCTGCTGCACTCCAGCCTGGGTGACAGAGTAGACGCTGTCTCACAAAACAAGAAAAAAGAGAAAGGGATCAATGTTTTTGGATTATGCATATTGCTTTCAGCTATTTAATTAGTATTTGGAGGTATTTAGGTACATGAAGAGAAGGAGGTATGTTAGAAATTTGGTAGCGAGAACAAAGAAAGTAGCCCAGCTGGCTTAAGCAAAGAGGGGTGGGTGGGAGCCATGGTGAGGGTGCGGGCAGCCAGCCTCCAGGGCTGGCCTGGGTGCCGCTCCCCACCGCTGCTTTCTCTTGGCGCATCTGCTCTGTTCCTCCCTTCATGCCGGCGGTTTCCTGGGCTCCCCGGCCTCCCTTAGGGAATGGGCACCCCTCAGCTCCAAATTCACTTCCAGGTCCAGTCATATGCAGAGCTCAGCTGTCTCTCAGTTCTAGTTGACGATTCCAGGAATAAGAAAATCTAGCTGGAATCAAGATTCTGTCCCCGATCCAGTAAGCAATGGCTGGTCAAGGGGGTTCCCCAGCATAACGTGGCCTATGGGAGTTTGCTGTCACAGATAGAAGGAAGAGAAGAGAAAAGCTCTCAAAGAAGAGAGTCACTGGCCTGTGGGTGGGCAGACACACCCAACAGATAACCCTCAAAAGAATGGGTAGAACAGAAAGTTCAGCAATCCAAAGCCAAGAGACGCCACAACCTACCCACCCTGCCCACTGCTGGATTCCTCTTCACCTGTACTGGGATGAGTGGAGTCTGTGAAGTCTTTGGTGGATGCATAGACATTAAAACACGAATGGACTTCAGTCTGCTCAGGGGCATCTGCGTGTGTCATGAGACAAAGGGTTTGAAGGGCTCGAATTGGTGCCTGTATTCAATGGCCGAGGCTGCCGTAAGAAAGCACCACAGACTGAGCGCTCTAACAACAGAAATGTATTGTCTCAGTTCTGGAGGCTGGAAGTCCGAGATGGAGGTGTCAGCAGGGTTGGTTTCTTTTGAGGCCTCTCTCCTTGACTTGCAGGTGGGCTTTTTCATCTTCACAGGACATTCTCCTTCTATGGATGACTGTCTCCAAATTTCCCCTTTTTATAAGGACACAGGACATATTGGATTCAAGCCCACCCTAAATTAGACCAACCTCATTTTAACTCCATTACCTCTGTAAAAACCCTAACTCCTAATAAGGTCACACCGTGAGATACGGAGGATTGGGGTTTCAACATGTGAACTTCAAGGGAGCACAATTCAACCCGTAACAGTTCCCCTCTGAGTCCCCCTCCAAATTAAGTGGAGGCAAGCGGACCAGATAACACAAACAAGGGTAGTATCCCCATTGGCCTGACACTCAGAATGAGCCCAAAATCTGTTCCTGAATGTTCCATGAGTGCCAGGGAGCTAAAGTCAACCTAGCTCAATGTCTGTATTTTGGAATGGGTGAAATAGATGCTCCACAACTATGTGTTCAGTGAATGAGTGAAAAAGGCAAGCAACTTCTCAGAGGCTCCAGGAGCCACGGGGCAGAAACTAGGATCAAAGTTGGGTCTTCTTGGCAGAACAGGTCCCTGAGTCCCTGCCTGGAAAATTTTTCTCTCCTCTGAAAGTGGTGGGAAGACAGGCTAAGCATGAGCCCTTCCAAAACTCTGTGTGTATGTTCATGTACGTGTGTGCAGGTGTATGTGTGTGATCCTTTTGCCTTGGGTCTTTTTGTGAGATTTCAATACCCTTATTATTCTCAGGTAAGGCAGGTGCTTGCAAATAAAGACGCTGATATGGGTTTTAGGAGCCTGGTTTCGAAGTCAAAACGAGCATACACGCACTCTGCTGTCTCTGAGTTCAGCCTCTTTAATATGAGAGTCATAGGGTGGAAAGGAAGTCCCAAGAATAGTGATCATTCTAGATATTCTTCTGCTTCAGTAAGATCAACAGATGTAATGACTCATATGTCTCAGATTGTGTTCAGGGAATAAGAAAAAATCTCAAAGAACCAGCATTTAGCAACCTTGGTATGACGTTCTCAACTTCTCTAATGCAAAATGACAGATGTCACTTTTGTTTAAGTCACTTTTCCATATGGTCCCATGAACTTCCTGATATGAGTAGAAGAAAAAGTGTCCTCTTAGGAGTGGCACTGATTTTGATTATGTATTTGAATGGGCTGAAATGATATTGCAATGAGAAAAGAAATGGATAAAAATGTAAACAAATGATTCATCATGTTGGAAATCGGCACATGGCTCAGCCATTATTACAATGTGTGTGCAGATCATTTTCCACAGACAGGGATTAAAAAACACTTTGTGCCTTTATAGAAAACAAAAATAATACTGCCACTCTGTCTAGCTTGGGTTCCCAAAGAAGAAAATCTTGAGCATTTCCTGTAAGCCTGGACTCCTGAGCAGAAACAACCTCATCTCCGACTTTTGCAGGGTTGATGTTGGAGGAAATAACACAGCATTGTGCATGGTAATTATGAGAGGAGTTGGTGTTTTTCCACCATGAAAAGGTGGGTATAAACATGGTGATCTTGTGGGCTTTAGAAATAAAGTGTTAAGGCCACGCCTTTAATCCCAGCACTTTGGGAGGCTGAGGCAGGTGGATCACGAGGTCAGGAGATCAAGACCATCCTGGCCAAGATGGTGAGCCCCCATCTCTACTAAAAATACAAAAATTAGCCAGGAGTGGCGGCCGTAGTCCCAGCTACTTGGGAGGCTGAGGCAGGAGAATTGCCTGAACCCAGGAGGCGAAGGCTGCAGTGAGCCAAGATCACGACATTGTACTCCGGCCTGGGCAACAGAGTGAGACTCCGTCTCAAAAAAAACAAAACAAAACAAAAACCAAAAAATGTTAACTACTTGCTCGACTTTTTGTTGGATGAGCTAGTCTTACTGAAGCCTAGCTTCCTTCCCCTTTTATATCCACAAACTTTTTTCCTTTTGAAAGACTTTGTCTCTGAATATTCCCTTGACAGATAAAATAAATGTTATGAACTGAATAGTCATATTCCTTCCAAATTCGTATGCTGAAGCCTGAATCCCTAAGGGGATGGTATTAGGAGGTGAGACCTTTGGGAGGTAATTAGGTCGTGAAAGTAGAGCCTTCATGATGTGATTAGTGTCTTTCTAGAAGAAGCAGCAGGCCAGGTGCAGTGGTTTAACTTCTTGGTCTGCCTCTCCATCTGCTCAGATATCTCCAACCAGCTACTGTCACTGTCCTGGTTGAGCAGAAGAACATAAACCAGGGCCAGGTGTGGTGGCTCATGCCTGTAATCCCAGCACTTTGGGAGGCTGAGGCGGGGGCATTACTTGAGGTCAAGAATTCAAGACCAGTCTTGGCAACATAGTGAGACCCTGTCTCCCCAAATAGTTTTTAAAAAATAGCTGGGTGTGGTGGTGCGTGCCTGTAGTTCCTGCTACTTGGGAAGCTGAGGTGAGAGGATCACTGGAGCCCAGGTGTTTGAGGCTGCAGTGAGCTATGTTTGTACCACTTCAGGCTGGGCCACAGAGTGAGACCCCAAATTGAAATAAATAAACAAAGAAGAAATGAGAGAGCTTGCTCTCTCTCAAACATGTGAGGATACAATGAGAAGATGGCCATCTGCAAACCAGGAAGTGACCTTCTCCAGACACCAGATCTGTTCGTGCCTTGATCTTGGCCTCCAGAACTGTGAGAAATAAATGTCTGTTGTTTGGAGCCACCCAATCTGCTGTGTTTTGTTATGGAAGCCTGAATAGATGAAGACAACTACCATTCCCATTTCTCCGAGCTCCTTAAAGAAGGAATTCCTCCTCACCCCTAAAATTTGCTGTTACATTCCAGGACAGAGCTATTTTCAACTAAATGTGTAACAAATACCCATTTATGACAGTACAATAGGAGGTCACGTTCATGACCTAGCTGCAATGCCTCTTTTTTTTTTTTTTTTTTTTTTTTTTTGAGACAGAGTTTCACTGTTGATGCCCAGGCTGGAGTGCAATGACACCATCTTGGCTCACTGCAACCTCCGCCTCCCAGGTTCAAGTGATTCTCCTGCTTCAGCCTCCCCAGTAGCTGGGACTACAGGAATGCACCACCTATGCCTGGCTAATTTTTGTATTAGTAGAGACGGGGTTTCACCATGTTGACCAGGCTGGTCTCGAACTCCTGACCTCAGATGATCCGCCTGCCTTGGCCTCCCAAAGTGTTGGGATTATAGGCAGGAGCCACTGCTCCCGGCCTGCAATACCTTTTTTTATGAGCTGCAGGATGTTGTACTGTAGGGTTCATGATTATTTCTTATAAAATTATCGTATGTCTTTATTCATAAGGTGCAAATCCTTGCAAGAGGCTGCAATGCTTTTTTTTCTTTGTTTATTTCTTTATACATTGTCTCATTCCAGGAAAGATTTATAATAGTTTATACAAGATTATAGAAGATAAAATAAAAATAAGTAATTGAAGAAACTGGGACCTAAGACTGGAAAGCTAAGATACCTCTAGGAGTGGATTAGTAGTACACAGGCTGGTGCAGAGTGAACCGTAAATTTCATTCAGAGATTATTAACAGCTATGCTGGGAGGGACATATGAGTAGTTTTATGACTGATTAATCTGTGTGTGTGTGTGTGTGTGTGTGTGTGTGTGTGTGTGTGTGTCTGAGAGAGAGAGAGAGAGATGGAGTTTCCCTCTTGTTGCCCAGGCTGGAGTGCAATGGCATGATCTCAGTTAACCACAACCTCCGCCTCCTGGATTCAAACGACTCCCCTGCCTCAGCCTCCCGAGTAGCTGGGATTATAGGCAGCCGCCACAGGCCTCGCTAATTTTTGTATTTTTAGTAGAGACAGAGTTTCGCCATGTCGACGAGGCTGGTCTTGAACTCCTGACTTCAGGTGATCCAACCTGCCTTGGCCTCCCAAAGTGCTAGGATTTGAGGCATGAGCCGCTGCACCCGGCCAATCATGTCTTTCTATTTTGATGCTTAGATATTTTGGGAGCCTTACTGACCCTGGAAGACTGTTCCTCCCAGGGTTGGCCAGTTCCCAGAGATAGTAAAGGACTAGGACTCCGAGCATGCCCTTCAGAAGCAAACCAACCGCTCCAGAGCCCACAGCCCCAGCCACCTTCTCTATGGGGCTGTCATATCTGGACCACTATCCCTTACCCAAATCACCACAGGGCCGGCTACCAAACAACTGGGAACAGTTTCTATGTCCCAGAGCCTGCTGAAATAATAGATACCAGCCAAGCCCAAGCCTGCATGTGTTGCCTTCCCTTCCCTAGATACCACAATCAAGGCTCTTCCCCACAGTTCTCCCCTCCTCCTGCCTCCTGACCCACGCTGGTTCTTCTCCAGTGGCCCTGCATGCTGTGCCGTGCCTCCTGTTTCTAGGGACCTGTGCGTATGAACTGCTTCCTTCCTGACAGTCATTTCTGTGCCTGTTTGTCTTACCATCCCTGAGTAAAACAATCCAGCTACAGTTTACAATAATTCATGGTGTCCAGTGAGAAAAAGAAGCCAATTGCTCAGAAGCAGAATGATTCATAAAAATGAGGCCAGACGTCATTGCCTCCTGTGAGCCCCCTTAAAGGAGAGGTGTCATGAAGTAAGCAAAGTCCTCAAAGCCACATCCATAGTGGAGCCCCTCAGGACCCATTAGAATGCTTCCTCAGCAAGGAATAGGAAATTGACTAAAAGGGGCCTAAACATCAAAGTTCAGCGGTAGAGTGGTTCCAGGGAATTTACAGCTCCAGCGGAGCTTGGCTTGTTTAGGATTTTTTGGTTTTTTATTTGTTTGTTTGTTTCTGCTTCACCTCTGAGCACTTCCTGAGATTTAATAGATCTGTTTAACTTAACGTTGTGGGAAAATACTCCCTCTGTTCCCCAGGCTGGAGTGCAGTGACGCCATAATAGCTCACCGTAACGTTGAACCCCTGGGCTCAAGTGATACTCCTGCCTCAGCCTCCAGAGTAGAAGGATTCAGAGGCAGAGGATGAAGCCCCTGCAGAAGGGCAATGCAGGCAGAGGTGGACTGAGGCCATCATCTACCTGCTCCCTAAACCTGCAGCATTGCCTGAGTCTCCCAGAGTCTCCACACATCCCCAGGGCACAGCAGGGTGAGGGTGAGGGTGGGGGAATATCTGAATTTAAATCCTGAAACAACTTCATCGTTAATCATTTAATGGAGTTGGTATGGAAATAACAAGAGTATTTGCTCTTGGGAGAAAATAGGGGCTCAAAACAAAACTAAAACTTGATTATAGGAAAACCCGGCTTCGTTTTCGCATGGTTGAGCTCTCAGGTTCCAGAGAAGCTCAGCGTACTGTATTTTGGCATTTAGCGTGCAAACAATTGTCTTGTGCTCACTAATATCCAGTTCTATAGCTGTAGGCAGGACTCAAGATGAGCCTCAAATTTTCTTTCGTTCTTATAGGAAAATAGTTTGTCTATATTTCTTCATTTTTATCATTTTTTGACAATGGGCATTATTGCTGTGGCATTTATTTGGTAAGTAAACACTCCTGAGGCACTGTTCTAGTCAGTGGGCACAGGTGAGTGAGTAAAGCAGAAAGTGTGCACCCTCATTGAATCCTCACATGCGCATGAGAAATGGTGTTTTAATCCCAGCTCAACCATTTACTAGCCGTAGAACCTTCAGCAAATTATCAAATCTCTTTGTGATTTGGTTTCCTCATTTGCCAAATAGGAAATGGTAATAATCATAATTTGTTGTTTAGAGCAAGTGAGTTACTATCATAACAGTATCTGGTCTGTAGTAAGGAGGAATGAATGCTAGCTATTATAATGTGTAATCTTATGGCCAGGGGTAAATTTATTTGTGTTTTATTGGAAAAGTGTCAGATGATTAGGGATATTGTAATCCCTAATGGCATGGTACCTCAGTTTGGATTAGATGCGGCTGTGAGTAAGAGACACTGTTAGTGACAAGATATAAATGTATTTCTCCTCCCTATAAAAGTCTGGCAGTAGGTAGTCCAGGGCAAGAATTGTGAGTCTACTCCACAGAGTCCTCAGACACCCGGGATTCTTCTATGTTGCTGTGCGTGATCCCAATTCATATGGTTGCCTCCTGGTCCAATACGGTTGCACAGGTCCAGTCATCACACAAACACTCTAGCCAGAAGGAAGGAGGAAGGGAAAAGACAGGAGTGGCTGTCTTTTATGGAAAACTTTTGGAAGCTGCCATGGGATACTGCCACTTACATCTCATTAGTCAGAACTTGGTCATACGACCATATGTTACTTCAAAGGTGACTAAGAAAAGTAATTTTTATTCTCGGGGTGCATATGCTCAAATAAAAAGTGGGGGTTCAATGAAGATGGAAGAAAGGAGAATGGTTTTGGATGGCAACTAGCAATCTCTGATGAACACAGTAGTTTAGTTTAGGTATATTTTATGTATGTCCATGTACTTAAAAAAAAAAACAACACTTACTGAGACCAGTCTGGGCAACATAGTGAAATCCCATCTCTACAGAAAATACAAAAATTAGAGGCCAGGCACGGTGGCTCATGCCTATAATCCCAGCACTTTGGGAGGCCAAAGCGGGCGGATCACCTGAGGTCAGGAGTTTGAGACTAGCCTGGCCAACATGGCGAAACCCTGTCTCTACTAAAAATACAAAAAAATTAGCCAGGCATGGTGGCAGGCGCCTATAAACCCAGCTACTTAGGAGGCTGAGGCAGGAGAATTGCTTATACCCAGGAGGCGGAGGTTGCAGTGAGCTGAGATTGCGCCATTGCACTCCAGCCTGGGCAAGAAGAGCGAAACTCCGTCTCAAAAACAAAAAAAAGAAAAAGAAAAAAAGAAAAGAAAAAAATTAGCCAGGTGTGGTGGAATGTGCCTGTAGTTCCAGCTACTCAGGAGGTTAAGAAGTGGGAGTATCACTTGAGCCCAGGAGGTCAAGCCTGCAGTAAGCTGTGATGGTGCCACTGCACTCCAGCCGGGGCAACAGAGCAAGACCCTGTCTCAAAAAGCAAACTTATTGAGCACCTACTATGTCAAGCACTGGCAAGGTGGGTCCTAGAGGTTCCCTCCTGGGCAGTCTTTCATTCAGTCTCTCATGAATGATTGAGGCCACATTTCCCATCTGATTTGCTTTTGCAGACAGATTTATTTGTTTATTCTTTTTTGGAAGGTCATGCTAATCTTCTCTGTATAGTTCCAATTTTAGTATACGTGCTGCCGAAGTGAGCACTCCAAGACAGATTTCTTTAAAAAAATTTTCCACTAGCACAATGTTGCCTGATGCTGAACTCTGAGGGTAAATCATTCCGTTTTACTTGCCTGATACTTTGATTTTTGCTGGGGAGTCACCCTTATCCTATAATTACCCCTAGGCCTTGAGTGAAAATAATTGACAAATATTAAATTTCAGCTGGATGCAGTGGCTCATGCCTGTAATCTCAGCACTTTGGGAGGCCAAAGGGAGTGGATCACTTGAGCCCAGGAGTTCAAGACCAGACTGGGCAACATGGCGAAAGCCTATCTCTGCAAAAAATACAATAATTATCTGGGTGTGGTGCTGCCTGCCTGTGGTCCCAGCTACTCGGGAAACCGAGTGGGTACGATCACCTGAGCCCGGAGGTTGAGGCTGCTGTGAGTTGTGATTACACCCCTGAACTCCAGTCTGGGTGAGAGTGAGACCCTGTCTCAAAAATAAAAAATAAAAATAAAAAAAATAAAAAATAAAAAATTTTATGTATATATATATATATATATATATATATATATATATATATAAAAAATCTCTCTGACCCAGAATCACACAACGTTAAAGCTGGAAAGGCCTACGAGAGCCTTCAGCCCCGACTCCCCATTCACACGCTGAGATGGGCAGTGGCTCCCTGGGGGTCCCCTTGCTGGTGCTGGGGGTGTATGGCCCCATGAAAACCCCTCTGCTTCCTGACACCAGGGGAAGGGTCAGCATTCAGGCCGAGGCCAGCAGGCCTCAGTCACGAGGCACCAGGCTGCGCTCAGGGAAGTTGTAACTGACGCTTGATTCTCTCTTAATCCCCCGGTGACCTGTCCCAGTTCTGCAGGTACACATTTCTGAGCCCTGCTTGAGGCAAAACTCTGCTTTGAACTTGTATCCTTTTGCTCTCTGAGCATCTCCTCCTCCTCCCTCCAGCCGCCCACTCCACTGTCTGCCCCATCGTACTTGCCAACCTGTCATTGTACCCATCCCTGGGGGTGGGGAGGAATTCCACGCCCTCTGGCCAGGTCAAGGTGCCCTGAATAGCTGGATTGCATGTAGTTTGTTGCCCTAATAGTAAACAATCCAAAGTGATTAATAGTAATAATAAACCATCTGCTAATGATTGAGCCTGTGTCTGATGGGTTAAGGTGGTCCCTCTATTAATGCCATTCTGACTCGCATTCTAGTAACCTTTTCTGGGTGGGCCAGAAGGGCTGGAGTTAGCCTGGCACTGGCACCCTTGGGCAGGCTGTCACAGAGGGGCACTCCAGCCTGGGTGACAGAGTGAGACCCTCTTCTAAAAAAATTTTTAAAAAACAAATGTATGACCTGTTCTTAGAAAAACAACAGTTTTATAGTTACCCATGCTCCCAGTTAAAATATAACTCTATATTTAAAGTTAGAGTTAAAATATAACTCTAATGTAATCCAATTAAAAATACCAATATTAATTCCTTTTTGGAAAAAAAACCACTCTGGTTTGAACCATCCTTTAATGCATGGGGCAGGGAGGGACCTGATAAATGTCGGGAGAGAGATGGTGTCTATTTTGATCCAGAATGTGGTGGCGAAAGTGCTGCCTGATATGCTAGAAGCTCTTTTCCCCCACCTGCTGCTTAATGTGTGTGTCAGCCCAGTGAGAGTGGTGTTTCCTGATGACTGGGCCTCAGGCCGCCTCATTGGAGTCCCCTGCGGGGGATGGGAACATGCAGATTCCCGGGCTCCCACCCAGTCAGCAGCTAGGGCAGGACACCTGGACCTTGCAGATTATCCAAGTCCCGGATGACTCTCAAGTGGATGAATGTTGGTGAATGTTGGCTCCAGGGAACAGAAGTGTCCGTCCCATCCCCGGCAGAGCCTAGGTTGCTAAGGTTGGTGGGCTTGTGCTGCTGCTGCAGCCCCAGGTCTTGGCCTCCTGACTCCTGGAATTGGGAGATGTGCTTCCTAGGATGGCTCTGACAATTAGCACTTCAGATCTTGGGATAAGGAAGGCCTACAGGGAATGCTGCCTAAAGGAAAAAACAACTCAGAAGGGCCTGATGCAGGGACGAGATGGGGAGGGCCCTTCATGAACATCCCTTGCACCTCCAGCATTCGGCAAAGAGAAGTCACTCATGCAGGATGCGGGCGGCAAGGCGGCGGCCCCTGCAGAGCTAGCAGGCAGGACCCTGGATGCTAACCCAGGATGCAGCATTGATGTCCTCTGAGGTGGCGGGTGGCAAAGTCTCCCAACAGATCCACCTTCAACACTGCAAAGAAATGCGTTTTAGCACGGCAGGCTCTGCTCCTGCCTAGCCCCTGGTAGGGCATTGTCTTGTGACGCCCCTACGGTGCACACACACTCTATCCTGTGCTTGTAAAACGTGGATGACATGTCATATACCGATCTAATCACAGGTCCCCCAGAGAATTATCGAGCAGATGGTGTGGTTCCCTTGACATTCACACCTGGTGGCTGCTGAAACCCTAGAAAGAGAGTGCAATTAGCAAACAAATCACCTTGGCTTCATATAGTCATTTCTCTTGCCAAGTGAGAAATTTCACCCTTCAAGAAAGATTTTTCTTCCATGAAGGTTGTGTTTTTCTGCCTGCTCAGTGTGAGACTTTACAGATGGTTCCTACTTTAATTTTAAAGTAGATGATAGTAACAACCCTAATATGACCACTGCCGCCAACAGCCACTAAGATGCCCTGCATGGGTAGAAGGACTCACACTTTGCAAAGCACTCTTCTGTAACGCAAAATCTATAGAGACAGGGAACAACCCGTTCTGCTCCCTCCCCTCTTTCCTTCTGCAAATTTGCATTGCATGCCTACTATGTGAAGTGGGCTTTGCAGAGAGAAGAAATCCAGCTCCCAGTACCAAGCCAGCCACAGCATGTTGGCAGGACAGAAGCAAACAAACAGCACACGCCATTCTGATGAGGGCAAGGAGAGAGGAGCATGTGGACAGAGGGAGACTTCCGGAAAGGGGCACCGCCTCGAGAGAGCCCTGGGCATGGAGCAGTAGCTTCACAGGGAAACATACTGAGGATAGAAGGTTTCTCACCCAGATATCTGTGGATGAGCAACACAGCATTGCTGGAGCTTAGGCTAAGCGTGGGCTGGAGGAGATGAGGATAGAAAGGCAGGCAGAGGCCAGAGCAGGAAAGGCTTTTTGTATCCTGCCAAGGGATTTGGCTTTCCCTCTGCAGGAGCTGCCTAAGACCTTAAGCAATGGGGCATTTAGTAAGGTTGCTGAGAAAGATGTTGGAGGAGGCATGTGCAGGCCTCATGCACAGGTGACAGCCAGAAAGAAAGACCTGGCAGATGAATCAGTTCTGCGCTTGATCTAGTAGAGGGAAGTTTGCAGACTTAAGCATCCATTATGGATCAGTTTGCCCACTACCCTTCAGGCTGCGTTTCAAGAAAGATATCAGTGTGCTGGATAGATTTGCTCAATGAAGACATCCCTCATGTCTGAGACAGAGGCAGCGGGACTGACAGAACCAGCCACCAAATTCATCTTCAAACAATCAATGGGGAAAACACTTGCCACAATTTGAGAGACAGTTAACATATTCCTACCTGAAGAAAACATAAAATTAACCTTAAAAAGACTCAAATAGAAAAGCAAGCAAAGGACATAGGTAAACAAATAAGAGCTTAAGGTAAATAATATATAGAAGCACTGGGAACATAAAATAAGAAATCTCTAAATCAATACACATAAAGAATATTTAACACTAGGAGTGACCAAGGTAGGGATCATCTAAGCAGCTTAGTCAGCCCTTTCACAAATCAGATTGGCAGACTAAGAACCAAACACACACAGACCTCTGAGATGTGCTAGGGAACTGCAGTGAGATGGGCCCTCCCCCACACTGCTGGAGGTATGGAAATTGGAAACGTTTCTAGAAAGCAATTTGGAAAATGAAAACCAAAAGCCATAAAAATGTCTTATTCTGTGATCTTACTTTCAGAAATCTATCTGAAGGGAATAATAAATGAGGCAGCAGAGATGTGAATACGAAGACAATGAGTGTCGTGCTGTTTATGCTAATCCTGAACTGAGTCGGAAGCGATGGGTCATGTAACGATACAGCCTAGCATGATGGGTCTGTGAGGTACTGCTTGTGCTCTATGATGTACTGCTGTGTGGCCACTGGAGGCATATACTCATAGGTTTTGAAGTGACATGGGAAAATGACTGTGATGCCAGATTCTATGAAAAAGCAGCATATTACATCATAAAATCAGCATGCTCCCAATTTTATTTTTTAAAATGTGTATAAGCTAGGTGCAGTAGCTCATGCCTGTAATCCCAGCACTTTAGGAGGCTGAGACCAGAGGATCTCTTGAGCCCAAGACTTTCAGACCAGCCTGGGCAACATAGCAAGACCCCATCTCTACAAAAATCAAAAATTAAAAAATTAGCCAGGTGTGGTGGTACAGGCCTGTAATCCTAGCTAGAGGCTGAGGCAGGAGGATCACTTGAGCCCAAGATTTCGAGGCTGCAGTGAGCTATGATGGCACCACTGCACTCCAGCCTGGGGGATAGAGCAAGGCCCCCATGTCTCTTAAAATACATAAATTAAAATTTAAAAATAAAAAATAGGTTGGGCACGGTGGCTCATGCCTGTAATCCCAGCACTTTGGGAGGCCAAGGCGGGCGGATCACCTGAGGTCAGGAGTTCAAAATCAGCCTGGCCAACATAGTGAAACTCTGTCTGTAATAAAAATACAAAAATTAGTCAAGTGTGGTGGCCGGCACCTATAATCCCAGTTACTCAGGAGGCTGAGGCAGGAGAATCGCTTGAACCCAGGAGGCAGAGGTTGCAGTGAGCCGAGATCTTGCCGCTGCACTCCAGCCTGGGTGACAATGAGACTCTGTCTCAAAAATAAATAAATAAATAGATTAAATAAATAAATAACAATAAAAATAAATTAAAAATGTGTATGAAATAAACTTAAATAAATACTAGAAGCACATGTCTCCACATGGGGAGGTTATGAGTGTTTTCTTTTAAAGGAATGTTTCTATTTCTCTATATTTTGCCAGTTTTCTCTTTCTTTTTTTTTTGAGACGGAGTTTCGCTCTTGTTGCCCAGACTGGAGTGCAAAGGTGCGATCTCAGCTCACCGCAAACTCTGCTTCCCGGGTTCAAGCCATTCTCTTGCCTCAGCCTCTTAAGTAGCTGCGATTACAGGCATGTGCCACCACGCCCAGCTAATTTTGTATTTTTAGTAGAGATGGGGTTTCTCCATGTTGGTCAGGCTGGTCTCAAACTTCCGACCTCAGGTGATCCACCCTCCTTGGCCTACCAAAGTGCTGGGATTACAGTCATGAGCCACCACGCCCAGCCTTTGCCAGTTTTCTACAATAAATATGACCTTTCTAATAATTATTTTTAAACACTTAGCCTAAAATGCATGTTTACCACACTCAAGTGGCCCTGGCAAGTCCCTGAAGGCGCAGCGAGTTGGTGCCGCCTTCGGCTGCGGTTGGGCCAGATGGAGTGTCGTGGGCTCTTTGGTTGGCCAGGCGGGCAGAGGGTTCTGTTCGGGCTGCCTCATCTGCCCCTGCAGAGGGCCTGTGCAGAGGTGGCCACTCAGTGCTCCCCCATGGGTGAGGGAGAGACTTCCCTTCTCCCTGCAGGGGAGGCGGGAGCTTGGGCACAATTATACAGCAGGGGGCAGGTTCTCTGGGCCCTCTTGTTTCCTTTTCTGTACCCGTCCCTTACTCCCTGCACCCTCTCCTACCCTACAGGCTGGCTTCCAGGGCCTTCATGATGCCACCTGGCTGATAAGCACTCTCCCAAGTGGTAACGCATTTGCCCCAGTGAGCCGGTCTTAATTTCCAATCACAGAGAAAAGGGAGCGGATTATTCTCATTCTGGATAAGACATAAGTGATAAATTGACCGACTTTACTAAGCCAGGGATTCCTTGTATTTTAGGGTTTTTCCCAAAAAACACAAAAGGTCATTGTCTTAGTCTGTGTAGGTGACTATAACAAAATACCACAGACTAGGTTGTTTATAAACAACAGAAGTTTATTGTTGACAGTTCTGGAAGCTGGGAAGTCCAAGATCAAGGTACCAGCAGATTTGGTGTCTGGTGAGCGCTTCTCTGCTTTATAGATGGCACCTCCTTGTTGAGTTCCCACACAGCAGAAGGGGTGGACAAGCTCCCTCGGGCCTTCTTCATAAGGGCGCTGATCCCATTTATGAGGGCAGAGCCTACTTCCCAAAAATCCCAGCTCTCAATCCACCACACTGGGGATTTGATTTCATCATATGAATTTTGCGGGGACACAAACGTTCAGACGAGAAAATCATCTTTATGGAAGCATTTTAGGCCATGGGACGGGCCAATGAGAGCTATTTTGGAGCTTGGGCTGTGGGACACTAGCTCATCACTCACCGCAGAGGCCTGGAGGGAGGCTCCTCTTTATCTTTCTGCCCTGCAGCAGAGGCAGGGGAGGCTGATGTCAAGAGTGGACTCTTTACCTCTTGGAAGAGGTTAGGGAGCAGTTCTGAAAGCCTGACCCAGTACTATAGTTTGAATATTTGACCCTCCAAATTTCATGTTGAAATTTGATTTCCAGTGTTTGAGATGGGCCTGGCGGGAGGTGTTTGGGTGATGGGGGCGGATCCCTCTGGAGTGGCTTGCTGCCGTTCTCACAGTAGTGAGTAAGTCCTCGCTCTCAGTGAAAGAGCCTGGCACCTCCTCTTTCTCTCTCTCTCCCCTTTTTTTTTGTTTGAGACAGAGTCTCGCTCTGTCACATAGGCTGGAGTGCTGTGGCACAATCTCAGCTTACTGCAACCTCCGCCTTCCAGGTTCAAGCGATTCTCCTCCCAAGTAGCTGGGATTACAGGGGTGTGCCACCACGCCCAACCAATTTTTGTATTTTTAGTAGAGACAGCGTTTCACCATGTTGGTCAGGCTGGTCTCGAATTCCTGATCTCAAGTGATCCATCTGCCTCAGCCTCCCAAAGTGCTGAGATTACAGGCGTGAGGCACCGTGCCCGGCCTTTCTCTATCTTTTCCTTTCTCTCTTGACGTGTGATCTCTGCACAAGCTGGCTCTCCTTCCTCTTCCACCATGATTGGAGGCTCCCTGAAGCCCTCACCAGAAGCAGATGCTGGCGCCATGCTTCTTGCACAGCTTGCAGAGCCATGAGCCAAATAAGCCTCTTTTCTTTATAAACTACCCAGCATCAGGCACTCCTTTACAGCAGCAGCACAAACAGACTAAGACACCCAGTGACCCTGGGATGCTGTTGGGACTAGCCCTGGACCGCCCCGAGAAGTTGACTCTTGTAGGGTGCCATTGGCTTTACATCAACATTCACGAGGCATCTGCCCAGTGCCAGCATTGTCGCAGGCATTGGTAGTACCCATGGGCAGGTGTCTTATCTGTTTTGCTCACTGCCTGGAAGAATGTCTGCAGATTGAACATGCAGTTAGAGACATATCCAGCTTCCATAGGCTCACAGCACAGACAATTTTAGAGGGCTGCTTCTTCTTCTTTTTTGTTTTTTGATAAGCAGTCTTGCTCTGTCACCCAGGTTGGAGTGCAATGGCACAATCTCGGCTCACTGCAACCTCTGCCTCCTGGGTTCAAGCGATTCTCCTGCCTCAGCCTCCTGAGTAGCTGGGATTACAGGCATGTGCCACCACGCCTGGCCAATTTTTGTATTTTTCTGGAGATGGGATTTCACCATGTTGGCCAGGTTGGTCTTGAACTCATGACCTCAGGTGATCTGCCCACCTTGGCCCTCCCAAAGTGTTGGGATTACAGGAGTAAGCCACCGCACCTGGCCTGGAGGATTTCTTTAAGAAAAGGAGACTGGGTGCGGTGGCTCATGCCTGTAATCCCAGCACTTTGGGAGGCCGAGGTGGGCGGATCACAAGGTCAGGAGTTCGAGACCAGCGTGGCCAATACGATGAAACCCCGTCTCTACTAAACAATACAAAAATTAGCCGGGCATGGTGGTGTGTGCCTGTAATCCCAGCTACTTGGGAGGCTGGGGCAGGATAATTGCTTGAACCTGGGAGGTGGAGGTTGCAGTGAGCAGAGACTGGGCCACTGCACTGCAGCTTGGGCGAAGGAGCAAGACTCCGTCTCAAAAAAAAAAAAAAAAAAAAAAGAAAAAGAAAAAGAAAAAGGAACACCAAAAAAAAAAAAGGTTCAAAATAATTTATTTGGAGTGAAAAATCATAACAATTGCAGGTTTTAAAAAGCCTTGCAAGTCATGTTATCCTAAGATGTAGGACAATCACATATCTTTTTGTGAATTAGCTCACTTGCCTGTCTCCGAAGTGCTTGTCTGCAGACTAGCTTCTGGCACCATTGATTTCCACTCTGTTGTGCCACCTTTGCTCACATGCCCAGTGCTGGGCTCAGTAGGGGACATTCAGGCCATGGCACACCCCCTGTGCTGCACCGTGGCCTCCGGGCGCCCAACGAGTCAGCACAGTGGGCAGGAGGAGGCGTGGGAGCTGTCCCCAAGATGGCTACGTGTGGAAGTATCTATCACTTCCTGCTCATCATCAAACAGCCCGCCAAATCCAAGTTAAAGGATCTCCATCCCAACATCCCTCTAGCTAGATCCTGAATCCCCTGTGGCTACCCCTGTCCCATGTAGAGGGAAGTGTAACTAAGGGAAAGTGGTAGGGAAGATATCTTACTTTTGCAAACTTCACCAAAACCTGACTTTTTCCATAAGCATTGAAAAGTTCCTCCCAGAGTCTCGATAGGGACCTGTGCAAATGAGTGTCCCTAAAACTGAAGCTTAATTAGCTTTACTGTGCAGCTACATTGGTGAATAATTGCTGCAAATATTTGTTGAATTGAGTAAAAGACATGGGCCCAGGCTTTGAAAAGCTCACACCATAGTGCAGAGACCCAAACTTGCAGAACCCAGGACATCTTGTCCCAAGCTAGGTTCCTGAGTCTACCTGAGCATGGCCTGTGCAGCAGACCGCAGAGCCAGAGAAGGCCTGGATTTGGCCTGACCACTTAGAGAGTCAAACACTATTCACTCTTCTAGAGCCTTCTTTCATAGTGTCTCTTCACACTCAGATATCAGGGCCCAAAGGCTTGAAGCTGGGGGCTGCTGTGGAGAATAACAGGACCACTTTTCCTAGTTTCCCAAACAGTGTGGCAGTTTTAAGGAGCAGACCACAGAGGGGGCCAGCAGGTTTGTTCAGAGGACTTGGTAAAGTCTGAGGTCCCAGATTCCTGAGCCTGGATTAAAACAGGGCCAGCTCTTTTTCTTTTTTTTTATTTTTTTGAGTCAGGGTCTTGGCTGGACACAGTGGCTCACACCTGTAATCCTAGCACTTTAGGAGGCCAAGGCAGGTGGACCACTTGAGCTCCAGAGTTCGAGATCAGCCTGGGCAACATGGAGAAACCCCATCTCTACAAAAACAAAAACAAAACAAAACAAAAAAGAGTCAGGGTCTTGCTGTGTTGCCCAGGCAAGACTCGAACTCCTGACCTCAGGCAATCCTCCAGGCTCAGCCTCCTGAGTAGCTGAAACTACCAGCTCATGCCCACCACGCCCGGCTCACAGTCCAACTCTTAGGGTTGGAGTTGAGGGTGAGGGGCAGACACAGGGAAGGTATTTTCATGGATTCCTGAGGTGAGTTTGGAAACCAAGATCCTTACATAGGTAGGTGATAATCATGATTTAAAGTGTAGCTGGGGCAGAGCGGGAGGAAGTGGATGGGGTCGGGGTCAGCCTGAGAGACCAAGCCGGCTCACACATGCAGCTGGGATCCCCGTGGACACCAGGTGGTGGATCCCTGTCTCTCTGGCAGGAGGTTCTGCTGTGTATTATCCAGTTGTCCCACTGTAGGCAGGAGAGAATTTCCAGCCTCTTCTTTAGAAATCAACACTCTTCCTCCCAAGAGGGAGGTGACTCCTTGGTTTTGTACTGTTCTGTGGGGACCTGAAGCCCAGACTGTGTCAGTATACTTACTACTCTTCCTGTAAGCCTGGGCTTACCCCAACCCCACCCCACAGCACTCCTCAGACAGGGAGAGGGACAAGGGATCACAGAACCCTGGGTGGCCTCATCCTTCCTGGGGGCTTCTATCAGGCTCCCCACCTTGCTCTGACCCAGCTGCACCCTCACTTCTTGTGGACCTGCAGGTGGGCAGCACAAACTGAACCCTGGCTCCGCTACCCTCTTGCTGCTGAGCCTTGGCCCTCAAGCCCTGAGCTCTGGTGTGCATGCTCCCTGGGCAGAGAACACTGCTCAGTGGCCTAGGAATACAATGCGTCTGGGATGTGGTAAGCAGTTAAGTATTGATAAGGGCATCAGTGTGGTGGTGTCCTGCAGGAGAAAATCAATCCTTAGAGCAGCATTGCCCTGAGCTCACACTCCTGATCATGCAGAGTGCTAAGTAGATGGGTCAGCATCTTGGATGCCTTAGCTCTGCAATTTGGTTGTGTAAAGGAAAAAAGAAGATCTCAGGACCTCCCAAACTTAGGCAAAAGTGAAGATTAAGCCCTGAGGCCAAGTCATTGCAACATCCTCTTCCAAATGAACAGCAGTTACTGACATTAGGCATCAGTCCCCATGGAAAGGTAAAGGGAAGGCCTTAGGCATCTGTGAAGGACCAGAAGGGCTCCACCTCTACAGATCATTCATAAAGGAGTTATTTCCTGGCCTCCCATAAAAGAGGACATGCCAGTTGTAACTTGAGGCCTACAAGCCAAGTCTAGCTCCTAAAATGAGTCTGTTCCTTCCATACTGAGAATGTGGATTACATGCTTAACTTCCCAGGTGCAGAACAAAGTCAAGAGTCCTTCCTCCACCTTCCCTTCCTCCACCTTCCATGCACAATTGACTCTTCCTTTACTCTCTTTTTTCTCTTATGTAAAAATGTAGATTTACTAGGCACTAACTAAAGTCTCACAAGAATATATTAAGTTGGGGCAAACTAATTGTGGTTTTTGCCATTACGTGTAATTTTGCACCAACCTAACTATAAAACTATTCCCACTTGTCTGCCCCTCTTCCTACACGCCTGCCCCTACCCTCCTTTAAGTAAATGTATAAATACAAAACTTCCTGAAAGCCTCTTTGGAAAAACAGCCACAGATGTGTCTGTGGCTTGTGTTTTTCCAGATGTTCCCTAAAGTGGCTGAATAAACCTACGCCTCAGTCCCTCATTTCGGTTGTCAGGTGACATGTGTTGTGTTTCAAACCACAGCCCTTGGTGTTCTACAAGCTGTGGATGGACACCGTCTGCCCGGGTTTAGGTGGAATACCACCAGGTAAGGATGTTTGCTCTCTGAATCACTTCTGCCGGGCACTCTCCAAGTAGATTCCATTCCTATTTCTCAGGACAAGCTGGATCTAGTCCTCCGTCAGTAGTTGTGAGAAGATGCTGTTGAGTTCTCCACTGAGGTGTTGTGAGAGGACTGGGCTGAATGTAATGGCAAATCAGAAAGCTTAGAAAGGGGCCAGACACAGTGGCTCATGCCTGTAATCCCAGCACTTTGGGAGGTCAAGGTGGGTGGATCACTTGAGGTCAGGTGTTCGAGACCAGCCTGGCCAACATGGCAAAACCCCATCTTTACTAAAAAAAAAAAAAAATACAAAAATTAGCCAGGTGTGGTGGCACATACCTGTACTTCCGGCTACTTGGGAGGCTGAGGCAGGAGACTCGCTTGAACCCAGGAGGTGGAGGTTGCAGTGAGCCCAGATCGCACCACTGCACTCCAGCCTGGGTGACAGAATGAGACTCCGTATCCAAAAAAAGAAAAGAAAAAGAAAAAAGAAAGAAAGCTTAGAAAGGGTTTCCAGCTTCTCAAACAAATTAGGTCATCAGTGTCTTTAGGAACTAAGTCATATATTAATATTCTATTTTGCATCTCAATTCTTTACATCTCCCCCTCAAACTTAGTTCCCCAACCTCTAAGGAATTTTTCCATCACATGCTGAATAATCCGTTGTTGTCATAAAACCCCAAATCCGAATCCCAAAGGAAATTAATCTGAAAATCCTTGATTCTGTAAAGGGCTTGGTTTGCTACTTTCATTTCATGCAAACTGCCTGCCGAAAAAGAACTGTAAAATTTCTCTCCTTTCTTATCCAGTGAGTGCCCTTTTTTGTGTGTGTGCAGGAAGGCTCCTAAGCCACTGCAGAGAAGTGGGGAGCTATTTATAAATGCGGCACACGATGATGCTGGGCTCGGCAAGTGCATCACCCAGAACTGGATGTTTAGGGGGAGGACATGGTATCATTTACCCTCTAATCTGCCCTGGCCTGCTGCCCAGGGAATGCCATCTGAGCCCTTGAGGGAGCCCCATGGGGAAGTTCAGTCCCTGAGGACCCCAGCTGGTTGGTTTGAAAATGTCTGCAGCTGTAACTTGCACCGGGCGTGGAGAACTCACTGGCACTCAATATTCTGTGTCAATTCATACCCCCAGAGAAGTTTTCATGAGTTACGATGGAGACCGGAGTTTCCCACAGCCCCAGCATCCTGAGCTGTCCTCTGAGGTAACAGCAGAGTGCAGGGCAGAGTGAGATATTTTAACCAAGCTGCAGACTCCAAGCCCAGATGATCTAGAACTGGGCTTTCCGATGGTGCTCCGTGCTCCTGGATATAATTTGAAACTTTTTTTTTAATGATTTTTAATGCATCACAGGGAATGGTAGAAGTACCAAAAAGATTAGAATCGTGTAGGCATCTCTTTATTTTTTTGAAAAGGAAAATAGAGTAGATCATAAGAAACTGTCGGGTTGCTTGACATAGCTTCCTGAAAACTCCTGGGGTTGATTGCTGAGCATATGATTTATGAACATTAGGAAGAAATACAGAGATTGCCAGGAATCTGTGCTAGTTCAGAAGAGCAGGTCATGCCAAACTCACACTGTTCCTTGTTTAGAGGGTGGTACTTGGTTCATACCTCGGAATAATCCCATAGAAAGCATATTTTAACATTTTATACAGCATTTGACATAAAATCCCATGTATAAAATAAAGAACTATGGTCTGGGTGGTAGCACAATTGGATAGGTAAAAGAACAACTACAGTAAATAACCTGCACTGTCCCAATTACTCTGATTTGCTCATTACACATTGTACACATGTATCAAAATATTACATGTATCCCCAAAATATATACATCTATGATATATCAATTTTAAAAATAAAAAATAAAATAAGAGAGGAGAAAACCCTTGAAGGCAAGAACATGGGTCATATTTAAGGATCTCTTGATGTGGTTGCATAAGAGATTTTAGTTTGGGGTAGGTTAAATTTTAATCACTACATTCCCTTCCAACCACAGAACATCTATTCACAATGTAAATTTAAAAGGAGAAAACCACCTTGGGACTTTCAAAAATACTGCAATGTGGTTAGAATCCTAGAGTTCTCAAGATTTAAATATGTCTACCCCATATGTCATTTCCACATTCCTTTTTGAAGATTTGCTGTATTTTTATTTCTCACTAAATTTGCATGGGGGCAAGTATAATTATATATATATAATTATATAATACAAGAAAAAAAAACTGGACCAGTATTATCCTGGAGAATGAAGTAGTTAGTCTATTCTTGAATGTCAATGTTCAGAAATATTAATCTTGCTGCCAAATCTGTAAATAATAAAAAACTTATAGGGAAAGCTAGTATGTCAATGACCCAATTCAATTTAGAAGCTTGACAGGCCTGGAATGATGGGCTCAGACCAATAAGTCAAAAGCCAGCCCAGAGAAATGTCAAGTTTGGATTCAGATTTTTAACCATGGGGGAAACATCGTGGCAATTCACGTGAAAAAGAACTGGGGAGTCAAAATTAAAGAAACTTTTTTTTTTTTGAGACAGGTTTTCACTCTGTCACCCAGGCTGGAGTGCAGTGGTGCCATCACGTCTCACTGCAGCCTTGACCTCCTGGGCTCAAGGGATCCTTACACCTCAGCCTCCTGAGTAGTTGGGACTACAGGGGTGCACCACCATGCCTAGTAAACTTTTAAAATATTTTTGGTAGAGATGAGGTTTTGCCGTGTTGCCCAGGCTGGTCTCAAACTCCTGGGCTCAAGTGATCCTCCTGCCTTGGCCTCTTGGAGTGCTGAGATTACAGGCATGAGCTACCACGCCAAGCCAGAAACTTTTTAATGTTTAAAACATATGTATGTTTTTAGTTTTTTACTTTAAGAAAACCAACAAAATGCATATTATAAAAATCAGGAAAAAATAAAGAAGCGGTATAGAAGAAAATGCCCATATTCCCACCAAGGAGAAGCCATTTGTAAAGAAGCAAAGATGAGGCTGGGGAGGTGAGGAGTGAGCTTGGCCAGGGCTCAGGGGCATGGATTTGGTTTCTGAGGTTCCATTTCCTCATCGCTAATGCAAAGGGTTTGACTTGATGGTCTGTTAGGACCCTTCTCATGTTAGGATTGAATGACTTACTGATAGGATATGGCTGTCTCCAACAGCTGAAAGGCTCTGAGGCTATCAAAGGAAGCAGATTGAGCAATGCTGTTCTGAATTCCACAAGATGAAACCCCATCAGTGGGTGAGGTGACACTTAAGTAAACCAAGAAAACTTTACTCTCTATTTCCGAAACTAGAGAGGGCTACTTGTGCTATGGTTTGAATATGGTTTGTGTGGCCTTGCCAAGGCTCAGGTTGAAATTTAATCCCAGTGTTGGAGGTGGGGCCTGGTGGGAGGTATTCATGATCATGTTGGTGCATCTCTCCTCACAGTAATGAGTGAACTTTCCTTCTACCAGTTCCCACGAGAGTTTCCCTGAGAGCAAATTGTTAAAAAGAGCCTGGCACCTCCCTTCTCTATCTCTTGCTCCCCTTCTCTCACCTTATGACCACTGTTTCCCTTTACCTCTCACCACGAATAGCAGCAGCCTGAAGCCCTCCCCAGAAGCAGATCCTGGCACCATGCTTATTGTACAGCAAGCAGAACTGTGAGCCAAATAAAATAAACCTCTTTTCTTTATAAATTACCCAGTCTCAGGTCTTTCTTTATAACAACGCAAACTGACTAAGACAACTTGTCAAGTGTCAAGTACACTAATATGGGGTAAACCAATGATCACCTGTCACTTTCAGTTTGGCTAAGAGAAGATTTCTTTTTTTAGACAGAGTTTCGCTCTTGTTGTCCAGGCTGGAGCGCAATGGCATTATCTCGGCTTACTGCAACCTCCGCCTCCCAGGTTCAAGCAATTCTCCTGCCTCAGCCTCCCTAGTAGCTGGGATTACAGGCATGTGCCACCACGCCTGGCTAATTTTGTGTTTTTAGTAGAGACGGGGTCTCTCCATGTTGGTCAGGCTGGTCTCGAACTCCCGACCTCAGGTGATCCGCCCACCTTGGCCTCCCAAAGTGCTGGGATTACAGGCGTGAGCCACCATGTCCGGCCGGCTAAGAGAAGATTTCTAAAATTCCTCTAAATTCCTGAATCTCAACCCCTACAAAAGCCTCATTTGTCAGGGCACAGTGGCTCACGCCTGTAATCCCAGCATTTTGGGAGGCCGAGGCGGGTGGATTACCTGTGGTCAGGGGTTCGAGACCAGCCTGACCAACATGGTGAAACCCTATCTCTACCAAAAATACAAAAATTAGCCACAGTTGGTGACGCATACCTGTAATCCCAGCTACTTGAGAGGCTGATGCAGGAGAGTTGCTTGAACCCGGGAGGCGGAGGTTGCAGTGAGCCAAGATCATGCCATTGCACTGCAGCCTGGGCAACAAGTGTGAAACTATGTCTTGAAAACAAAAAAAAAAAGCCTCGTTAATCCAGACACCATTTATTAAAAAACTGCATTTGTTGAGAAAGGAAATTCCTGCCAGGCCGTGGCTCATGCCTATAATCCCAATACTTTGAGAGGCCAAGTCAGGTGAATTGCTTGAGCCTAGCAGTTTGAAACCAGCCTGGGCAACATGGTGAAACTCTGTCTCTACAAAAAAAATACAAAAATTAGCCAGGTGTGGTGGTGTGCATCATGGTCCCAGCTACTCTGGAGGCTCAGGTGAGAGAATCAGCTGAACCCAGGGAGCCTGAGGCTGCAGTGAGCTGTGATTGTGCCACTGTACTCCAACCTGGGTGAAAAGGGAGACCCTGTCTCATAAAGAAAAGAAGAGAAATTCTTACTCAACGCTAAAGGTGTTGAAATAATTCTTCCTCTGCATTTTCAAAACTTTAAACATAAAAAAGAAAAAAGTTATTAAATAGCAAGAATTTTTCTTCTTTTGAGACAGAGTCTCACTCTCATCCAGCCTGGAGTGCAGTGGTGTGATCATAGCTCACTGTGGCCTCAAATTCCTGGGCTCAAGCCATCCTCCTCAGCCTCCTGAATAGTTGGGACTACAGGTGTGCACTGCCGTGCCTGGCTAACTATTTTATTTTTTTGTGTGGAGATGAGGGTCTCACTATGTTGCCCAGGCTGATCTCAAACTCCTGGCCTCAAGTGATTCTCCCACCTTGGCATCCCAAACTGCTGGATGACAGGTATGACCCACTGTGTGCCTGACAATACCAAGACTTTTTCAAAGAGACCCCAATAAATTGAAGACCATTGCTATACCTTTTCATGTTCCTGGTCTAACTACAAATGTATACATATGAAAGGTTTTCTGTTTTCATAGCATGCCACTACATAATGATGTCTAACTGTCAAAGCCTGGTTATGCTCATTAATTAGTCCTGTAATTAGCTGTACCATTGCAAAAACATGTAACCAACCTAAATACTCATCAGCTGATGTGTGGATAAAGAAAATATGGTGTATATATACACCATGGAATACTAGTCAGCCATAAAAAAGAATGAAACAATGTCTTTTGCAGCAACTTGGATGGAACTGAAGGCCACTGTTCTAAGTGAGGTAACTTCGGAATGGAAAATCAAATACCATATGTTCTTACTTAAAAGTGGGAGGGGAGCTGAGCTATGGGTACACAAAAGCATGCAGGGTGGTATAATAGACTTTGGAGACTCAGAACGGGGAGAGTGGGAGGGGAGTGAGGGATAAAAAACTACATATTGGGTACAATGTACACTATTTGGATGATGGGTGCACCAAAATCTCAGACTTCACTGCTATACATTTCATCCATGTAACCAAAAACCACTGGTATCCCAAAAGCTATTGAAATTAAAAAAGTATGTATTAGTCCCTTATTGCATTGCTGTAAAGAACTGCTCAAGACTGGGTAATTTATAG